>NC_000010.11:80446125-80597640 GCF_000001405.40 Homo sapiens | reverse complement strand
AGGCTGGAGTGCAATGGCACGATCTCAGCTCACTGCAACCTCCACCTCCCGGGTTCAAGAGATTCTCCTGCCTCAGCCTCCCAAGTAGCTAGGATTACAGGTGCACACCGCCATGCCTGGCTAATTTTTGTATTTTTAGTAGAGATGGAGTTTCACCATGTTGGCCAGGCTGGTCTCAAACTCCTGACCTCAGGTGATCCACCTGCCTCAGCCTCCCAAAGTCCTGGCATTACAGGCATGAGTCATTGTGCCTGGCCTCCCCATGTATTTTATACAAACCTATGTTGGCACACCTACCTATTGAACTGTAACTCGGGCATGTAAGCCTCTTTTTCCAGGCTGAGATTTTGAGGGGAGGAAATATGTCTAATACAATGGTTGGCATACAGTAGGAGCTCAATTGATGTACAATTGTCCCTCGGCATCCTCAGGGGATTGGTTCAAGGAAACCCCTCCTCCACTCCCCATCTCTCATGAATACCAAAATCTGCGAATGCTCAAGCCCCTTTTATAAAATGGTGTAGGGATTGCGTATAGCCTATGCACACCCTCCCATATACTTTAAATCAGCTCTAGATTACTTATCATACTTAATACAATATGAATGCTATGTAAATAGTTGCTATACTGTATTTTTATTTTTATTGTTATGTTATTTTTTATTGTTTTTTTCCAAATATTTTCTGTCAGAGGTTGAGTGAATCCGCAGATGCAGAACCCAAGAATACCGAAGGCCAAGCGTATACTGTTGCTCCTCAGTCTTAACTGGGTGCAGATGACAAGCATCTCCCCCAAGCGGCAGGAGGAAGCATTGCAGGGAAACGTTCTGCGAGTAAGATCAATGTTGAGCTACGCACCAGCACTGAACTTCAGTAAAGATAGAGCCTCCATCTGCCTTTATTCTGTTATTTCAAACAAACTTGTTATAGACTGTAATGTCTGCTTAGTGTTCCCGCAACCTCAGCCACCCCTCGGCAGTCCTTGGAATGCCCAGCAGTAACTCCACAGGACGGAACCCATGAGGAACTACCTGTGCATGGACCCCTGGAGGCCTGTGAGGCCAATGACCAAAGACATCCCTCCTACAGGCTGCTTTTGGAGATACCTAAGCTGCAGGCCAGAACACTAGGCCAAGAGTAAGGAAAAAGAAAAGCCTTCATTTGCGCCTGATGCCCCGACCTCCCTATTGAGTCTGAGCCTGAGATTCCTTATCAGTACACAGTAGAAATGCCAATGCTCTGCTATGAGGCTGTTCTCGGCTCATGAGCAATGACTGTCCTAAGGCTTTGTGAACTCTCAGGGTTTGGGGCATTCAGATGAATTTAGTGAGGGCACAGTTTTTAGCAGTATTTGGCAATTCTTAAAACAACTCCAACCCATGTGTGAATGGGCATGAAATAGTTCAACAGCAGCTGCCCAGACGTTATCAATGAGCAAGGGGAACACTCTCTCCTGAGCGTATGCCCCTGAGGCATCGCCTAGGAGCTTGCCCCAGATAAAAAATGAGCTTTGACCACAATGTTGCATTTGTATAATTTTAACTCTGAAAGGAAGAAGTAACTGGTAACAGTGAAACCCAGGTCCCAAGGCTGGAAGAGGTCAACAGAGAAAAGGAGGCATGGTCCTGAATATAAACAGACCCCACCCACATTTCCCTCCCCAGCCCAAGGACACACCAATACCCAAGTAACAAGGAATGGAGACTTAAAAGCAAAATCCCACTGTAATTTCAACTGCATACACATGCATTCCATAATGTGATTCCATTCTCATTCCAAATAGAGAGAACCAATCATTTTCCATCTCCCATAAACCAATGATAGGACTACTCCCTGAACACGCTATTAAGGAGGGATTGAAGAACTGGGTGGACTCGCCACTCTGGTACTCCAGGAGGAGAGGACAGAGGAGTCTGTCCCCTGCTTACACTGCTGGAGTGGGCCTGAGATTTGACTCTTATCTGAATAGCACAATCTCTTAGGCTTTCATTGATTCAAAGAGCCTCTGAGTGCAGCAGTCACTCAGGTAGGAAGGGAACTTTCCTTAATAGAAAAAATAATCTCAAGCTAAAGGCAGCCACTAGGCCAGGGCAATAGTGTTGAAAATATATTACACACAGCCCAAAGGGTTTCACAGAGGGGTCCCTGAAGCGGGGAAGATTCAGGGGACCAGGGACCATGGGCCCCCTCACTTTCCTCACCCGGGCCAGCTGCTCACACCTTCTTTACCTAGTGGGCTTCAGCATAAACATATGTGAAAACAGCAGCCATAAGGGAGCTTGGAGAGCAAAGACAGCCCAGTTTTCAAGCTCTTTTGTAAATACAACAGTAAGTCCCTAGGAGAGAGAAACAGAAGACCTGGTTGAGAGATGAGGCTTGCACTGCACTGTGCTGGCATTGCTACTCTGAGGCATCTGCATACAGGATAATCTCTGTTCTGGGCCTGGGCACACAGCCCTTGGTCTGCCAGGGCCCAAGAGACCTAAGAAAATCTGATTGAGACATCAATGCTGAGAAGCAGAAGGAACACTGGTGTCTTAAAAATTGCAACTGCCTCATGGTGCAAAAATTGTACAAAATAAAAATTAAATTTTAAATTTTTTTAATTTTTTTTTTAGACGCTGTTTGGTTTATTCCTTTTCCAGCATTTGATTACATGCTAGGTCACTGGGAATAAAAAAAGATTCAACACAAAATTAAATACTTTCCACCCATCCACCTTCCCAACTGCCCAGTTATGGCCCCAGATTTGTCCCAGAAGTTCTGGGTGTTTTAGGACTGGCACCAAATTAATTATATGTCAGCTTAAAAAGGTATCAGTGGAAAAGGTGAATTAAGGTCCTCTGAAAATCCTCTCTTCCATAAAACAATGAAAACACTGGAAAATCCTCAGAGCCAACTTTCTCAGATTGTTAGAAATTAACCAAAGGCCTACAGGAATTCAGTGAGCATTTATTCAAGAGAAAAAGGTTCATAACAAGTGAAGAGACTAAATTCGTAATCAAAAAAAATTCCCGTAAAGAAACCCGAGGACTAGATGTCTTCACTAGTGAGTTATACTAAATATTTCAAGAAAAATTAATTCCTCTTTACAAATTCATCATGAGAAATAGAAGAGGAATGAACACTTTCCAACTTGTGCTTTGAGGCTAGTATTACCCTGACATCACAACCAGACAAAAACATCAAAGAAAATAAAACTGCAGACCAATATCTCTTATGAATACAGATGCAAAATCCTCAACAAAATAGTAGCAAATGGAATTTAGCAACATATAAACAGGATTATATGCTATAAAGAAGTGGGATTTATCCCAGGAATGTGAGACTAGCTCAGTATATGAAACTCAGCCATGGAATGCACCACGTTAATAGAATAAAGAACAAAAAACATATGATCATCTCAACAGATGCAGAACAAGCATTTGATAAAATCCAACACCCTTTCATCATAAAAACACCCAACAATCTAAGAAAGCATGGAACTTCCTGAACCCAAGGTTATGTATGAAAACCCACAGCTAACATCATATTAAATGGTGGCTAACATCTGTAATCCCAGAACTTTGGGAGGTCGAGGTGGACAGACTTCTTGAGCTCAGGAGTTTTAAGACCAGACTGGGCAACATGGCAAAACCCCGTCGCTAAAAATATATATATATAAATTAGCCAGATGTGGTGGTGTGCATCTGTAGTCCCAACTACTCAGGAGACTGAGGTAGGAGGGTCACTTGAGCCTAGGCAGTTGACGCTGCAGTGAGCTGAGATAATGCCACTGCACTCCAGCCTGAGTGACAAAGTGAGACCTTGTCTCAAAAAAACAAAACAAAACAAAATAGTGAAAGACTAAAAATTTACCTCTAAGATGAGAAACAAGAGAGGGCTGCCTTTTGCCACTTCCATTCAACATAGTATTGGAAGTTCTAGCCAGAGCAATTAGGTAAGAAAACAAAATAGAAGGAATCCAAACTGGAAAGGAAGAAGTAAAACTATCTCTATCTGCAGATGAAATTATCTTGTATGTAGAAAATCATAAGGAATACACAAAAAGATACATTCCAGCTAATAAACAAGGCTAGTAAGGTTACAGGATACAAGATCAATATACAAAAGTCAATTGCATTTCTATGCACTAGCAATAAACAATCCAAAAATGAAACTAAGAAAACTATTCTATTTATAATAGCATCAGAAAGAATACGCCATTAGGAATAAACTTAGCAAAACAAGGGCAAGGCTTCTACACTGAAAACTATAAAATATTATTGAAAGAGATTTTTAAAGACTTAGATAAATGGAAAGACATTCTGTGATCATGAATTGGAAGACTAAATATTGTTAAGATAGCAATATTCTCCAAATTGATCTACAGATTTCATGTAATCACTATCAAAATTCCAGCTACCTTTATTGCAACAATTGACAAGCTGATTCTAAAATGGAAATGGAAATACAAAGGACTCAGAATAACCAAAATAATCCTGAAAAAGAAGAACAAACATGGAGGTCTCATACTGCCCAATTTCAAAATGTACAAGAAAGCTACAGTAATCGAGACTATGTCATACTGGCATAAGAAACAGACATATAAATCAATGGAACAGGATTGAAAGTACAGAAACAGGCCAGGCATGGTGGCTGACGCCTGTAATCCCAGCACTTAGGGAGGCCAAAGCAGGCAGATCGTTTAAGCTCAGGAGTTCAAGACCAGACTGGGCAACATGGCAAGACCCTGTCTCTAATAAAAATACGAAAAAAAAAAACTAGGCATGGTGGTGCATGCCTGTGGTCCAGCTACTCAGGATGCTGAAATGGGAGGATAGACATTTGAGCCCATAGGGCAGAGCTTGCAGTAAGCTGAGATCACACCACTGTACTCCAGCCTGGGTGACAGAGTGAGACTCCATCTCAAAAAAAAAAAAAAAAGAGACAGAGAGACAGAGTACAGAAACAGACATATTTTTGGTGAATTGATTTTCAACAAGAGTTCCAATACCATCCAATGGAGAAAGAATAGTCTTTTCAACAAATGGTGCTTGGACAACTTGGATGGCCATATGAAAAAGAATTAAGTAGGAACCCTACCTCACACAAAAATTAAATCAAAATGGATCAAAGACCTAAATGTAAGGGCTAAACCTATAAAGCTCTTAGAACAAAGATAGGTGTAAGCCAGTGTGACCTTCCTTGGATTAGGCAATGGTTTCTTAGGTAAGACACAAATCATAAACAACCAAAAAAATGGATACATTGAACTTCATCAAAATTAAAATTTTTTGTGCTTCAAAGGACTATCAAGAAAGTGAAAAGACAACTCCAAAGAATATGAGAAAATATTTGCAAACCATATCTCTGATAAGAAATTAATATCCAAAATATATAGTGAACTCTGGCAACTCAACAACAAAAATTCAAAAATGGGTAAATAATTGGAATAGACATTTCTCCAAAGATGATATATAAACAGCCATAAAGCACATTTTTAAAATGTTCAACATCATTAGTCATTAAGGAAATGCAAATCAAAACCACGATGAGATGTCACTTCACACACACTAGAAAGGCTTTTATAATAAAAAACACAAAAAATTACAAGGGTTGGCAAGGACGTCAAGGAATTAGATCCCTCATACATTGCTAATAAGGATATAAAATGGTGCAGTCACTTTGGAAGACAGTGTGGCAGTTAAGAGGTGAGACCTTTAAGAGATGATTGGATCATGAAGACTCTGCCTTCAAGAATGGATTAATCCTTTCATGGATTAATGTATTAATGGGTTAATGGGTCATCATGGGAGTTGGTTAGCTATCAAGAGAGCAGGCCTGTATAAAAGCCAGTTTGGACTGGGCATGGTGGCTCACACTGTAATCCCAGCACTTTGGAAGGCCAAGGCAGGTGGATCACCTGAGGTCAGGAGTTCCAGACCAGCCTGACCAACATGATGAAACCCTGTCTCTACTAAAATTACATAAATTAACTGGGTGTGGTGGCACACACCTGTAATCCCAGCTACTAGGGAGGCAGGAGAGTTGCTTGAGCCTGGGAGGGAGAGGTTGCAGTGAGCTGAGATCACGCCACTGCACTCCAGCCTGGGTGACAGAACAAGACTCCGACTCAAAAAAAAAAAAAAAAAAAGCCAGTTTGGCTCTTAGTGTACCTTCCATCTCCATGTGATGCCTTCCACTGCCTCGGGACTCTGAAGAGTCGCCACTAGCAAGAAGGCCCTTACCAGACTCAGCCCCTCAATCTCAGACTTCCCAGCCTCCAGAACTATAAGAAATAGATTTATTTTCTTTGTAAGTCACTCAGTCTCAGATATTCAGTTATAAAAATAGAAGACTAAGATACCATATGACCCAGAAACTGCACTCCTAGGCATATAGGTAATACTCAAGAGAATTGAAAATATATGTTCACACAAAAACGTGTACATAAATGTTCATAGCAACATTATTCAAAATAGCCAAAAAGTGAAAACAACCCAAATGTTCATCAACTGTTAAGTGGACAAACAACAATGTGGTATATGCGTACATTAGAATATTATTCAATCATAAAATGGAAGGAAGGAATGATATCTGCTACAACATGAATGGACCTTGAAAACATTGTGCTAAGCAAAGTCAGACACCAAAAGCCACATAATGTTTTGGTGTCTGACTTCACTTAGCACAATGTTTTCAAGGTCCATTCATGTTGTAGCATGTCCATCATAGGCAAATCTAGAGACAGAAATTGATGAGTAACTTCCAGGGATATGGTGGGGGAAGGAGTAACTGCTAATCGGTACAGAGTTTCTTTTTGAAGTGACAGAAATATTCTGGAATTAGTGGCGATGATTGCACAACTTTTTGAGTATACTAAAAACCACTAAATTGTACACTTTAAAAGGCTAAATTTTATGGTATGTAAGTTGTATCTCCATTTTCAAGTCTATTTAATGAATCTGGCATAAGATTAAGACATGCTGAGGACCAGAAGGCTGGCCAGTAGAAGACACCTCACATCTCTGCTCTCCCTGTATGGCCCCAGTTGCAATCATCAGTCAAGTGTACCATCACAACAGCCTCCTCCTTGCTCTCTTCCCAAAACCCTGCCAGATCGCGTCACTAGCCTTTGGAAGTTTCCCACTGTCCACGTGTATTAATCATGCCTTTTCATTTTCTGTATTTTCTGATTTTTTGACATCTGAGGCCTTTCTGATTCTGGAGAGATTGCCCCTCCCAGGAATAGCCAATTCGTAGGGACAGTAAAGGGCTTGCCCACAAGTGCACCTTCATATGCAAACCATTCAGTCAGAAGCCCATACAACTACCTCCCTTGTTGGGCTTTCACACTCTGAGCCACTGTCTCCCTGCCTTAATCACCCCACTGCCAGATGATGCAAAACTAGAGACAGCCCCTACACCCAAGAGCTCAGTTTAGTTATTTACACTGGCCAATCCGAAGCCTGCCTAGCCTGCCTCCCCTTACCTTTCCCCAGGAAATCACAATAAACACTCTTGCCCATGTTTTCCCCCACTCCCTCTGCCTCCTGACCCACCCTGGGGCTTCCCCATGTGGCCCTGCATGGCCTGCCGTGCCTCCTGTCTCTAGGGACCTGTGAGTAAAAACGTCTTCCTTTACAAGTGTCATTTCTGGGCCTGCATGTCTTACCATACCCAAATAAAACAAATCCCAGGTACATAGGGAAGCACCACCCTCCAAACTTAGTTCCACCTTCCCTTCCCCACCTAGCTTCTTGCGAACCTGACACTCCCCAAACTCTCACCACCCCACACTTCCCAGGCATTCCGTGTTCCTTTGTCACCAAGCCTTTGCCCATGCTGGAGCCTCTACCTACAGTGCCCTTCCCAGCCTTTTTGACTTGCTTATTCCTGTGTCACCAGCAAGCCTCACTTCATGACACCTCTTCTGCAGACCCACCAGGACAACTATGTTGTATGTGCTACATCCTCCCTTCAAGCCCTTAGTCTATATATCTGTCTGCTGCTCTTGTTGATGAGTTTCTACAGGATGAGCACCGTGATTCCTCATCCCTGGATCCCTAGGGCTTAGCACAGAGCCAGGAAATTATTGGCAACTTAGTAAAGGTAGAATATGAGACAAGGTCTCACTCTGTTACCCAGGCTGCAGTGCTGTGGCACAATCATGGCTCACTGCAGCCTCGACCTCCTGGGTTCAAGCAATCCTCCCACCTCAGCCTCCCGAGTAGCTGGGACTACAGGCACATGCCACCACCAATCCCAGCTAATACTTCTTATTTTTTTGTAGAGACAGGGTCTCACTATATTGCCCAGGCTAGGCTTTTATTTTTTTAATACAAGAAATATCCCCAGCTGGGAGTGGTGGCTCACGCCTGTAATCCCAGCACTTTGGGAGGCCGAGGCAGGTGGGTCACCTGAGGTCAGGAGTTTGAGACCAGCCTGGCCAACCTGGTGAAACCCCGTCTCTACTAAAAATACGAAAATTAGCTGGGCTTGGTGGCGGGTGCCTGTAATCCCAGCTACTTGGGAGGCTGAGGCAGGAGAATCACTTGAACCTGGGAGACAGAAGTTGCAGTGAGCTGAGATCGCACCATTGCACTCCAGCCTAGGCGACAGAGCAAGACTTCGTCTCAAAAAAGAACAAAAAAAAAAAGAAAAAGAAAAAGAAATATCCCCAACAGGCAGGTAAGCTCTTCAAGGATGAAGCCTAACTTACCCTCTAAATTCTTAGCAGGACTGAGCACATGGCCGGGTCCAAGTAAAGGCTGATGGGGTGAGTGAGCGAATGGAAATGACGAATGAGTACATCAGCATTGGGAGGAGGTGGGTGGGGAGGCGGGACTGGTCTCCCTGCCTGAGGCACAAGCTCTACTCACACTGTTCTTCCCACTCTCGCTCCTCTTTCTCACTGGCTTGGCAATGCAGCTGAGCCTGCTTCAGGGTCCAGTAGAGCTCCTTCGCCCTCTGCTCTTCCTGGAGGCGAATCTGCTCTTCTCCTCGCTTCCTCTCCTCTTCCTCTTTCCTCTAAAATGTCATGGGAACAGAACAACACGAGATGACCACAACACTTCAGAGAAACGAGAAAGAAATATCTCTGGGATTCTGCAGTGGATGGGGCTGAGAGTGCAGCAGTGGCCTCTCCAGCCTCAGTCCCTACATGTATGAAATTGAAATTACCCAGTACTCCCATAGACAGTTGTTTTTGGATAAACGCAAAAATTATCACTTCTGGTCTTAAAGCTTGAAACTTATATTTGTTTTATTTGAATTGCTTCCTCAGGAAAGGATCCCTCAGGCCTCTCAAAAAGTATCAAATTACTGAAACTCACCAGATCACCACAACCAGACTATGAGATGCCTGACCCCTCAATGAGATGATTGCTTCCTAACTCCTCCCTAGTTTCTGTTTTCTTACACATTGTTATATTTCTTACCTGCTACACAAACCTCTAGTTATAGTCAGTTAGGGAGATGAAGATGGATTTGAGGCTGAGCTCCCATCTCCTCAGCTGCAGCACCTGATTAAAGCCTTCTTCCTTGGCAATACTCATCATCTAGGTGATTGACTTTCTGTGCCGCAAGCAGTAGGACCTGGATGGAACCCTGGTGTTTTAGTAATAAAGTGGTGGTGATCGTGCCACCTAACTTAACTGACAAGGTGGTGGTGAGGAGAAAATGGGTTGAAACAGGTGGAATGCCACAGAATACTACACAGCCATAAAACAGAATGAAGTCACGTCCTCTGCAGTAACATAGATGCATCTGGAGGCCATTATAGTAAGTGAACCTACACAGAAACAGAAAACCAAACACTGCATGTTCTCACTTATAAGTGGAAGCTAAACACTGGGTACTCATGGACATAAAGACAGGAATGACAGACACTGGGGATTACTGCAAGTGGGAGACAGGGAGACGGGGAATGACTAAAAAAGTGCCTCTTGGGTAATATGCTCACTACCTAGATCATGGGTTCAATCGTAACCCTTACTTCAGCATCACACAATATACCCTTGTAACAAACCTGCACATGCACCTCTGGAATCTAAAATAAAAGTTTAGAAAGAAAAAAAAAAGCTGGGCGTCGTGGCTCACGCGTGTAATCCCAGCACTCTGGGAGGCCAAGGCAGGCGGATCACCTGAGGTCAGAAGTTTGAGACCAGTTTGACCAACATGGAGAAACCCCGTCTCTACTAAAAATACAAAATTAGCCCAGCATGGTGGCGCATGTGTGTAATCCCAGCTGCTAGGCAGGCTGAGGCAGGAGAATCGCTTGAACCGGAAGGAGGAGGTTGCAGTGAGCTGAGATCGCACCACTGCACTCCACCCTGGGCAACAAGAGCAAAACTCCATCTCAAAGAAAAAACAACAACAACAACAACAAAAACAAGAGTTACTCAAGAGGCACGAGAATGGCTTGAACCCAGGAGGCAGAGGTTGCAGTGAGCCGAGATCGCGCCACTGCACTCCAGCCTGGGCGTCTCCAAAAAAAAAAAAAAAAACAAAACAAAAAAAAAAAAAAACGTGGCCGGAATTGGTGGGTTCTTGGTCTCACTGACTTCAAGAATGAAGCCGCGGACCCTCGAGGTGAGTGTTACAGTTCTTAAATGTGGCATATCCGGAGTTTGTTCCTTCTGATGTTCGGATGTGTTCGGAGTTTCTTCCTTCTGGTGGGTTCGTGGTCTCGCTGGCTCAGGAGTGAAGCTGCGGACCTCCGCGGTGAGTGTTACAGCTCTTAAGGCAGTGCGTCTGGAGTTGCTCGTTCCTCCCGGTGGGTTCGTGGTCTCCCTGGCTTCAGGAGTGCAGCTGCAGACCTTCACTATGAGTGTTACAGCTCATAAAGGCAGCGTGGAACCAAAGAGTGAGCAGCAGCAAGATTTATTGTAAAGAGTGAAAAAACAAAGCTTCCACAGCGGCAAGGGGATCCCAGCCCGTTGCCACTGCTGGCTCGGGGCAGCCTGCTTTTATTCTCTTATCTGGCCCCACCCACATCCTGCTGATTGGTCCATTTTACAGAGAGCCCAGTGGTCTGTTTTGACAGGGCACTGATTGGTGCGTTTACAATCCCTGAGCTAGACACAAAGGTTCTCCACGTCCCCACCAGATTAGCTAGATACAGAGTGTGGACACAAAGGTTCTCCAAGCCCCCACCAGAGTAGCTAGATACAGTGTCGATTGGTGCATTCACAAACCCTGAGGTAGACACAGGGTGCTGACAGGTGTGTTTACAAACCTTGAGCTAGATACAGAGTGCCGATTGGTGTATTTACAATCCCCTAGCTAGACATAAAGGTTCTCCAAGTCCCCACCAGAGTCAGAAGCCCAGCTGGCTTCACCCAGTGGATCGCGCACCAGGGCCGCAGGTGGAGATGCCTGCCAGTCCCACGCCGTGCGCCCACACTCCTCAGCTCTTGGGTGGTTGATGGGACTGGACGGCATGGAGCAGGGGGCGGCGCTCGTCGTGGAGGCTCGGCGGCACAGGAGCCCATGGAGGAGGGGGAGGCTCAGGCATGGCAAGCTGCAGGTCCCGAGCCCTGCCCCACGGGGAGGCAGCTAAGGCCCCCTGAGAAATCAAGTGCAGTGCCGCTGGGCCGGCACTGCTGGGGGACCCAGCACACTCTCCGCAGCTGCTGGCCTGGGTGCTAAGCCCCTCATTGCCCGGGCTGGCGGGGCCGGCTCGACGCTCCGAGTGTGGGGCCACCTAGCCCACGCCCACCCAGAAATCCAGCTGGCCCGCAAGCGCCACGTGCAGCCCCGGTTCCTGCTTGTGCCTCTCCCTCCACACCTCCCTGCAAGCTGAAGGAGCCGGCTCTGGCCTTGGCCAGCCCAGAAAGGGGCTCTTACAGTGCAGCGGTGGGCTGAAAGGCTCCTCAAGTGCCGCCAAAGTGGGAGCCCAGGCAGAGGAGGTGCCCAGAGTGAGCGAGGGCTGTGAGGGCTGCTAGCACGCTGTCACCTCTCAGAAAGAAAGAAAAAAGAAATACGTGGAACAAAGTGTAAACTCCACATCTTACTGCAGAGGTAAGAGGACTCTGCCATCCTGGCTGGGCGCGGTGGTTCACGCCTGTAATCCCAGCACTTTGGGAGGCCAAGGCAGGCAGATCACCTGAGGTCAGGAGTTTGAGACCAGCTGGCCAACATGGTGAAACCCCGTCTCTACTAAGAAATACAAAAATTAGTCGGGCATGGTGGCATGCACCTGTAATCCGAGCTACTTGGGAGGCTGAGGCAGGAGAATCACTTGAACCCGGGAGGTGGAGGTTGCAGTGAGCTGAGATCACGCCATTGCACTCTAGACTGGGCGACTCTCCATCTCAAAAAAAAAAAAAAGAAAAAGAGGAGTCTGTGCCATCCTTAGGTGTACTTTCATTTTGGAGGAAGAGGGAGGGAAGACACAGGGACAGGTGTCTGGTCTCTTCCTGAAAGCCAGTGAAGCAGGGTATGATTATGTCTTAACCTTAAGTCTGGATAAAGTCTCAGAGAGAGAGATTTGGGGTCCCTAAATTTCCCATTTCTGTCCCACTCCTGAGCTCTAAAAAAGTTATACCTGTGTGTATTTTCTTCTACCTTTGTTTACATCAAAGTAACATGTATGTGTTAAACATACATTATGAAACACAGGCTTCTAATGAAAATCAGCAGTCTCTAAATAGCTTCACCAGAACCCAATCCAACCAGCCTTAATTAAACCAATGCCTGGAGGCCACCATTTTCAACTATGTTAGCTGTTCCTTTGCTTGGCTACGTCCATGTGTCTGATTAATGCTGCTAATCCTTGATTTATCAAGTTATCAATCTAGATGTTAAATCTTGCCTTTCTTTTTTGGCACATGCATATTTAGCACTTATATTTCCCACAGGTGAACATCCATACACCATACTTTTTCTCTCCTCAGCCTCATAATAAATTTGCCTCATAATCTGTAGTTAAGTCAATAATCAGCATCAAAATAGTTTACTGCAAAGCCAAATAGGGTGCTATTTTCATCAGTTCCAAAAAGTACATTTTTTTAACCTTGTAACATCTCTGAAATTTGGATGTTTTAAAACTTACAGCTTGCTTTTTAATAAGCAACACTTTTATCCTCTTAAATAATGATATGTTTTGCTATTAAAGGTAACTTAAATTCAGTAAAATATGACAGGTATGGAAGCCTTTTCTTTCCAGTCATTTTTTCTGGTTTTTCCTGGGTTAATACATCTTGAAGCTGAATATTGAATTTTCCCAAAGTTTTCTCAGATGTAGTAAATCATTCTCTGTGTTTAACCAAGTGCTTTTTCTTATAACAGACAATACAAAAGTTATCTTTTTCCAAAGGACACACTACCCCGGGTGCCATCTTTTCTTCTCCCATCTGCACTGGTTACCACCTAAGCCTCCTCTCCATCCACCTACAAATGGCACACCTCTCAACCTTCCTTGAGTTGGAGCCCCTGTTTCTTTCTTGACCACTCTGCCATTTTGCAGCAGCATTTAACACTTCTCAGCTAAGAATGCATAGAGACACTTTCTGAGTCTTGTCTGGAAATGTCTATATGCCACATTTACATGTAACTGCCAATTTAGCTGAGCACAGAATTTGATTAAAAATCATTTTCCTGCAGAATGTTAAAGACTTCCTTGTCTTCTATCATCCAGAACTACCAATCTGATTCTCATTCTTCTGCACAAGGCATTTATTTTTCTCTCTGGAAGCCCCTGAAGTCTCTTTAACACCAATGTTCTGAACTTTTTAATATGATGTGCCTTGGTGTGGATTTTCTTGCGTTGATTGTGTTGGCCACTTGGGGGTACTTTCAGTCTGTAGTCTCTTATCTTTCCAGTCTAATACATCTTTGCTTAGCATTTCTTTGATAATTTCTTCTCTTCTAATTTCTTGTTTTTCCTTATAGAGCTCCTATTTGTCAAATAATGGTCTTCTTGAGTTTATCTTCTAACTGCCTTATCATTTTCCTCTCTTGCTCTCCATCTGTCTTTTTTATTTTTTTGAGACAGAGTCTCACTGTCACCCAGGCTGGAGTACAGTGGCACGATTTTGGCTCACTGTAACCTCTACCTCCCAGGTTCAAGCAATTTTCATGCCTTAGCCTCCCGAGTAGCTGGAATTACAGGCGCGCATGCCACCACCCCTGGCTAATTTTTGTATTTTTAGTGGAGACGGGTTTCATCATGTTGGTCAGGCTGGTCTTGAACTCCCAACCTCAGGTGATCCGCCCGCCTCAGCCTCCTAAAGTGCTGGGATTACAGGTGTGAGCCACCGCGCCCGGCTCCATCTGTTGTCTTTTTTCTTCTACTTCCTGGTTGATTTCATCGACTTTATCTTCCAAACCTTCTACTGAGTTTTTTATTTCAGCTATCACGTGTAATTTCCAAGCTCTCATTCTTATTCTTTGGTTGTTCTTTTCTCTTCATTGCATCTTGCACTTGTTTTATGAATGCAATAACTCATTTCTCTGAGGATTTTAGGGCATTTTCTTCCCATGTGCTCTGATTTAGGTCTGTTTCCTCTGTGTGCGAGTATGGTTTAAGTTCGTTTGATTTGGTGCCTGTCATACATGTGAAAGGTTTTTCTCGGCAGTCTGATGTTCCCTGACTATTCATATTCAAGAGAGAAGTAAATATCTGAGTAGGAAACTCAGAGAGCATGCTCCAGGCTTCATTGAGAGGAGGACTTTGCTCTAGGGCAATCGTAGGAGGAACCAGCCATGTTGCAGGACCCTCAGATGTAAGTATCTAGAGGCCCCTCCTCTGAGATTATTCAGTGCCTTCTCTGTCCTTCCTGGGTGGTATCACCCCCAGCATTCCAGGAATTGGAGGGGAGCAGGCTGCAAGCAGGACTGCCTGCAGCAAGCAGGGCCCCTGGCCTGAGCCCCATGCTTCACAGAAACCCATGCTTTAAAGCACCTTCTTGTAAATTTCCTCAAGTCTCCCCTCAGGAGTGGCCAGAAATAGTTAGTCCCCCCAGGAATGGTAAGGGCAGGTGGTGTTGTCCAGGTAAGGTGCCCCAGGCCCAGAATAGGTTCTACATGAGCCCGACTCCCTGTTTCTTTCCTTCAGGGTGCTCTCTGACCATATCCCTCATCAAGAGATTGAGCAGATATCCCAAGGAACTCCAGGATTCCTATTTATGAAGTCACCCTGGGCCCCAGTGCGGGGGTCCTGGTTCCAGAAGGGTAGCCTAGCAACCAGATGAAGCCCTTGCCAGCACAGTATTTTTAGCAGAGGATCACATGAGATTGGGTCACCAGAATAGTGCTAAAAGGCTGATTTTATGTGACTCGGATTTTTAATATAAACAAAGACTGCACAAAGAAATATTTGCCAACTCTGTACACCCTAGGGGCAACCCTGGCTGCAGGTCCCACCATTCAGAATTCAGACCTTTCCTTAATCTCCCCGTTTCCCTCCTGCTCCCTTCACTCTGCCTGATACCCCAACACCCCAGCGTTTCCCTTTCAACTTTCCCTCTTCTTCTGGCCAGAGGGAGGGAGGTGGTAGCCTGGAAAAAACAGATGAAAAAGTATTTGGTGAACAATTAGAAGAAGTCACTTACCTTCTTTAGCCCTTAATTCCCAACTCTTAGAGAGTGGGTCATAAGGAAATCGGAATTTTGTCTACTTTTAGCATTAAAAAATTAATCATTGAATTGGAGAAAAGTCCCCAGTCTATGTCAGGTCAGAAGGAACAAAAATCTTGTCATTTTTAAAACAAAGGAGTAAAAATGCACAGTTATCTCCTTTTATCTGCTTGTTGATCTATTGAAGTATACCAAAGGACCCACCCCTGACCCACTGGGGTCTTCCAGGCAGGAGCAGGTGTCAGGAAGAATACAGTCAAGGCCTGTCAGAGCCAGAGGGACATCAACTGCATGCTGCCACTTCCTTGTGCAGATAAGGAGTGTATCAATTTGCTCAGGCCGCCATAACGAAGTACCACAGATTGAGGAGGCTTAAATGACAGAACTCTATTTCCTCAATCATGGAGGCTGCAATCCAAAGTCAAGGTGTGGCAGGGTTGGCTTCGTGCTGAGGCCCTTCTCCTTGGCTGGCTGCCTTCTTGCTGTGTCACTCACAGCCTTCCCTCTGAGTGTGTGCCCGTCTGTGTCCAAATCTCCCTTTTTATAAGGACAGCAGTCATATTGGAGTAGGGTCTAACCCACTCGATCTCATTTTAACTGAATTACCTGTGTAAAGAGCTTATCTCCAAATATAGTTACATTCTGAGGTCCCGGGGATTAGGACTTCAAAATACGGATTTTAGCAGGGACATAATTCAGCCCATAACAAGGAGATTGGAGCCCAGGAAATGACTGGCACACAGTGGATAAGTGTCTGACTGGCCTATGGTGGATAAGTGGCCCTTAACCACCTCAGATTACAATGCAATGTTCCTACTTCAACTGGCTGTGACTAAAAGGAAGCAGCAAGTTAAATTGTAGGGCCATGTTCAATCAGTTCTTCTTCACCTGGAGAGTAGGACACCACCCAGGGAACCAGAGGCCTACAGCAACCGCCCATCTCAGAGGAAAATGACTGGCCATTTACTGTGATAAAGGAAAGCTCTTCACAAGGATGGGGACGACAAAGGAAAACATTTTGCAACTACTGTTGCATTACACATGGTCTTGCTAAAATAACGCTCAAAGCTGAAATTGCCTAAAAATTCTCATTGCTGTTGCAACTACCAGAATTCTCTGAGCCATCTAATACCACTGAAAGAAAAGCCCATTTTTCTGAGGTTTAGCAGCCAAAAGGCCAGACACGCAAAGACTCCCCTGCTGCCTAGGAATTAATCGCCTTGCTCTGGCTGCCCAAAGCCCTCTGAGCTGTCCAGCTTATTCAATCTCCCTTCTCCTCATAACCCATCAGTAACAGCACACCACAGGAACCCACAGAGGCCAGGGTCTGCCAGAATCCTGTGGAAAATGTCATCAAGACAAATGCCTTTTCTAGAAAGTGAAAAATTTTTTAAAATCCTAGGCCCCCTAAGCAATGGAACAGACCTTTTCTTGGCCAAGGGGACTCATGAGAAACTTTAAAAACTGAGTTCCCAGCCATGATGGGAGAGGAGATCAGACTTGCCTCAGTAACCACCATTAGGCTTTCTTCCCTAAGGACTAAATAGAAACCAGCCCTTTTGAAAGACTGATATCAACCAACAGCCTGATGCTGCCCCTCCCTTTTCATGGTTTTGACACAACAACTGACCAGCCTTCCTTCCTGATAAGAGACCACCGACCACAGAGTAGTTCTGGCCAGTCTACAGAGGATGTACCCTAAGGGCCTTCACGCCCTCTGCTTTGCCTTTTGATGTATAGGGTCTAATTGTAATATGTAGACTCAGCTAACCTGGTCAGCATAAACTCCTGTCTCATTCTTCCCTGCCTCAAAGTGCCTGCTACCAGCTTCTGACCAGAAGCTGGGCTTCCCAGCCTGTCAAAATAGCCACCTGCAGGCTGCAACCCTTTAGGAGATATAAAGCTCCCCTTTCCAAATTTATGAACCTCATCATTTTTCAGGTGACAAAGGCATCCTCATTTTTGTTGTTAGTCTGGCCCCAATAACACCACAGTGAGCTGAAGCACTCCAAAAAAGCAGAACCAAACCTATGCTGTTCATTCCTCCATTGCCAGTTCACAGCACAGGACATAGCAGATATCAGGTGCTCCATAAATGCTGACCAGAGAAGTGAATGAGTTATCAAACAGGTAAAGAGAAGACAGGGTTTGTGATGATCCCCGGGAGGGACAGGGTACACCACATCATGTTGTTTTGTCGGCGTCAGCCTTGCCTAGAGAAGTTCTGGTAAAGTCTAAAATTTTCAAGAGAAAATTGAGAAGTAGAAAATTTTCCCACCACTTCTAATCTTATTGGAAATAAAGCAGTAATCGTTTCTAAAGTTGTATAGGAGTTCATTAGGTGGCCAAAAGGAACTCCAAACTTAAAGGAGAAAAAAAAAGGGAGTGGCCTTGAATAGAAAATGGAAAAAAAATTAATAAACAACTGAACAGAATCAACCATGTCTGTTCGTTAAGAGTAAAACCAGGAAGAGGTGGGAGTGGGAGGAGGGAGGGAGATTGCAAGCAGAGAAGGAAGGTCACAGGACCCCGGGGTGGAAGAAGAGCACAGGATGTTTATTGAGCCGTGTTCTGTGGTCTTGAACAGAAGGAGAAATGTCCAGAAGCAATTTTAGGAGTTAAGAAAGCACGGGGGAAATAAATGCAAATTTTATCTGGCCTCAGGATCTCCTTTTTTCTAAAGGAACACTTTTATATGCATGTAAATTACATTCAAATGGCACCAGCCACAGCAGAATGGTTTTTAAAAACCGGTTTCCAGCTGTCTCATCTTCAGAGTTCCCTCTGTAACCCAATATAAAGATTCTGGGATTTTTTTTTCCATTTTCAGAATGCAGTTGTCATTATTACCTTTTCCATGACCTGGAGAATTAGCAGAACCTGCCTACATCCTCAACATGAGCTGCAGAAAGTGAGCCCAGCCCATCTCTCTCCATCACCAGGCTTTTCACCCAAGCTCTCACCTCTCCTCCAGCCTCCACCTATCTCCCTTCTCTGTGGGGTAAAAATCCCTCAATGCAGTCAATCTAAGCACTTTCTCTTTCCTGCAAATCTGCACACCCTCCCCAGCTCCCCATGGTGGGATGGTGCTGCCATCTCCTCATCTCCCAGCTTGGGACTTGGATGTCTTTGCTCTTTGCTTTCCCTCATCCCAACATCTAATTGATGCCAAGCCCTATTGATTTCACCACCACCATTTTGCTATATCCATCCCTTCTCTCCTTCCTCGTTGTCATAGACTCTGTCCAGACCCTTGCTCATTGGCCTTGACCATTGCAAAAATCTCCTAACTAGTCTCCTTGCCTGAAAACTCATCACTTGAATCACATCATTGCCATCAGTGGTGCTCCTAAAACTTCATCTGACCACATCCTTCTTTGTATCAAGATCCTGCTTTGCCCACAGAGGAAAGTCCACCCCCTTAATGTAGCATTTAAGAGCTTCACACCCTACCTCCTTTCCAGGCGTATGTCTGGCTCCATCCATCATGAACTTTTTCTCTCTCCTTCCAGCAGACCATTCATCATTCTACAGTTCTCCTTTCCATCTCTTGTGCTTGCTCATGCCCAGACCTCTAAAGTTACTCCTCTGCCCTCCATTATACTCCCCGGGGTGTGGTTGGCACTAAGGGTTGCTCATGGAGTTGTCTCTCTCTCCCCTGGCACCCTGTAAGCTTTTGAGAGCTGGTAGTTTATTTCTCCCCTCCTCCCCCACAACAAACAGCCTCCCCTTAGGTTCTCAGGAAAAAAAGAGAGTATTAAATGAAGGTTGTTGGTACATTCCTACAAGCAAGACTCAGAATGTTAGAACCCTACTGTTGAAAGACACAGTAAAAATTATCTCACTTTGGAAAGTTGACATGGGCGGATTGCTTGAGCTCAGAAATTCCAGATGAGCCTGGGCAACATGGCAAAACCCCATCGCTACAAAAAATACAAAAATTAGCCAGGTATGGTGGTGCATCCCTGTAGTCCCAGCTACTTGGGGGGCTGAAGTGGGACGATGGCTAGAGTCCAAGAGACGGAGGTTGCAGTGAGCTGAGATTGTGCCACTGCACTCTGGCCTGGGTAACAGAGCCGGACCCTGTCTCGAAAAAAAAAAAGAAAGAAAAAAAATTATCTAAGCCAATCTCTAACCCAATGCATAAATCCCTTGGTGAAGCTGTTTTTGGTTGTCTACTGCTGAGTAACAAATTACCAGAAAATTCAGTGGTCTAAGGCCAGGCGTGGTGGCTCACGCCTGTAATCTCAGCACTTTGGGAGGCCGAGGCAGGCAGATCACGAGGTCAGGAGATCGAGACCATCCTGGCTAACACGGTGAAACCCCGTCCCTACTAAAAATACAAAAAAAAAAGGCCGGGCGCTGTGGCTCACACCTGTAATCCCGGCGCTTTGGGAGGCTGAGGCGGGTGGATCGCAAGGTCAGGAGATCAAGACCATCCTGGCTAACATGGTGAAACCCCGTCTCTACTAAAAATACAAAAAATTAGCCGGGCGTGGTGGCAGGCACCTGTAGTCCCAGCTACTTGGGAGGCTGAGGCAGGAGAATGGCATGAACCTGGGAGGTGGAGCTTGCAGTGAGCTGAGATTGCGCCACTGCACTCCAGCCTGGGCGACAGAGCGAGACTCCGTCTCAAAAAAAAAAAAAACAGAAAATTCAGTGGTCTAAAACAACTACCATTTTATTTGTGTATGATTCTGCAGGTTAATAATTCAGGAAGGGCTTGGCTGGGTGGCTCTTCTGCACCACTTGGTATCAATTGAGGTCAATCATTTGGTTGGGGTCATTCACTGGGATGGGCTGGCAGAACCAAGGCTTTGCTCATGTGTCTGGTGGATCAGTGCCTCTCCATGTAGCCTCTTCCTCTCTGCATGGCTAACTTGGGTTTCCTTACAGTGTGTAGTGTAGGGTAGTAGGGATTCTTATAGGACAGCTTCCAAAAATGAGCATCGCAAGAGAGGGAAAAGTAGAAACTTCAGCTCCGTTATAGTCTTTCCTCAAAAGTTGTATCAGTCCAGGCGCAGTGGCTCATGCCTGTAATCCCAACTCTTTGGGAGGCTGAGGCAGGCAGATCACTTGAGGTCAGGAGTTCGAGACCAACTTGGCTAACATGGTGAAACCTGTCTCTACTAAAACTACAAAAAATTGCTGGGTGTGGTGGTGTGCACCTGTAATCCCAGCTACCTGGGAGGCTGAAGCAGGAGAATCACTTGAACCCAGGAGGCAGAAGTTTCAGTGAGCCAAGATCATGTCCCTGCACTCCAGCCTGGGCAACAGAGTGAGACTCCATCTCGGATTAAAAAATTAAAAAGTTATATCAGTCATTACTACTGCATTCTACACATCACAGCTAGTCATAAGGCTGGCGCAGCCAAAAAGGGAGGGGGAATAGATCCTACCTCTCAAAGGGAGGAGGGGCAAACAATTTGCCGCAAATCCCATTTAACCTACCACAGAAACCTTTCAGATCATGTTTTAGCCTAGGCTTAACTATTTCCTGTGATGAAGAGTTCCACACAGCAAAAGGGCAGTGCACTTACAGGCAGAGCAAACAGAAGATATCTCAGCTCATGAACCTGGACCATTCAACTGCACAGTACTTGTTCTAATGTTGCTAACAGATAGTGCCCTAATGAGCCTCTCCAAGGCATTTCTGAGGCTCTTCAAAATGAAGATATGCCAGATCAAGATTACTATTTCTAATGAAGTTTAAACATTCACATTTATCAAATTAATATTTGAACCAAAACAAACATATAATAATCATAACCTTCCTTGGCAATAACATCCACAGCCTGTGGTTGAGACCCTCAGTGAACATGAGAGTCTGGCCAAATGGCCCTAGTGATCCTTCATGAGCCCCAGCATAGAACATCCCACAATTTCTCACCCACTCTATCACTGAGGTTCTCAAGGAGACCATTGACCAGAAAACCTCCACTCATACCTTAATCCCTTCATGATCTCCTTGTGAGCTGAGCCCCAGGACTCCAGCTCCACAGAGCCACTCTTCCAGTATCTGGAGCTCAGCCCCCATGTGGGAAAGAGGAAGGCCAGAAATTAGAGCAGGTGCTTTCACGGTTAGGAGAGAGATAAAAAGAATTGGTTTTCTTCCCGAACAGACTTAAATAATCATATGCAAAACCCAGCAACATAAACTAAGTATCTCTCCACTGTGGGTTGGATTTGAAATACTATTATGGAGTTATTGTTCATTTCAATAGGTGTGAAAATGACTTTTATAGCTGTGGAGGGAAATGCCCTTCTTCATAGGAGATGCATGTTGAACTTCTTAGGTTTTGATCAGGAATCTGCAAACTAAGGATCCTAGGCTGGAGTGCAGTGGCTCAATCTCCACTCGCTGCAACCTCTGCCTCCTGGGTTCAAGCAATTCTCCTGCCTCAGCCTCCTGAGTAGCTGGGATTACAGGCGTGGCTAATTTTTGTATTTTTTAGTATTTTGTATTGTTAGTAGTTTCACCATGTTTTAGTAGTTTCACCATGTTGGCCAGGCTGGTCTCGAACTCCTGACCTCAAGTGATCCACCCGCCTCAGCTGCCCAAAGTGCTGGGATTACAGGTGTGAGCCACTGTGCCCAGCCCACATCCCTTTGTTTCTAAATTGTCAGTAGCTGCTATTGTGCTACAGCAGCAGAGTTGAGTAGTTGTGTGACAGGGACAGTTGGCTCCCAAAGCCTAAAATATTTACTATCTGGCCCTTTACAGAAAATAGTTTGCCAGCCCCTGGGTTAGAATATCATCATCCATGACTTCCTTTAAAATTGTTTAGTAAAACAATAGCAACAACAAAGTGTATATGAGTGTGAGTGAGCATATAAATATTCTCCATTTAAATTCACCAATTATTAATATTTTACCACATTTGCCAGAGAGAGAAGGCAAATGTGGTAAAATGTTAAAAATTGGTGAATTTAAATGGAGAATATATGAGTATTCATTTTATTTTTTCTTTCAACTTTTCTTCATGTTTGAAATTTTAAAAAAATAAAATGTGTGGAGGGTACATACTGTTTCCAAATACTGTTTTCCACATTATACTCCATTTAAAAACTCACAAGAGGCCAGGCATGGTGGCTCATGCCTGTAATCCCAGCACTTTGGGAGGCCAAGGTGGGTGGATCACTTGAGGTCAGGAGTTCGAGACCAGCCTGACCAACATGGTGAAACCCCATCTCTACTAAAGATACAAAAATTAGCTGGGTGTGGTGGTGGGTGCCTGCAATCCCAGCTACTTGAGAGGCTGAGGCAGCAGAATCACTTGAACCTGGGAGGTGGAGGCTTCAGTGAGCCGAGATTGCGCCATTGCACTCCAGCCTGGACAACAAGAGCGAAACTCCGTCTCAAACAAATTAATTAATTAATTAATTGATAATAAAAACTCAGGAAAATCTGCTAAAAAATTTACAACTCATGGGAAAATTAAATAAGGAGATTAATAACACTCATGGAGGATCACTAGGGCCATCTGGCCAGACTCTCAGGTTCACTGAGTGTCTCAACCACAGGCTGTGGATCCAAATATATAACTAGCAAGTACAATAGGTTTAAAAATAATGGGTACAATCTTATTCACAATAGCAACAACGAATATTAAACCTGAAGTTTAACTAAAAAAGAAATGCATGGGTAGGTGTAGTGGCTCATGCCTGTAATCCCAGCACTTTGGGAGGCCAAGGTAGGTGGTTGGCTTGAGCTCAGGAGTTCAAGACCAGCTGGGCAACATGGTGAAATCCTGTCTCTACAAAAAATACAAAAATTAGTTGGGTGTGGTGGCACATGCCTGCAGTTCCAGCTACTTGGGAGGCTGAGGAGGGAGGATCACTTAAGCCCAGGAGACAGGGGTTACAGTGAGCTGAGATTGTGCCACTGCACTCTAGCCTGGGCAACAGAGTGAGACCCTATCTCAAATAAAAAGAAAAAACAAATGTGGAGCACTTCAAGAAAATAAATTTTACCAAGTTCCAAAAAATAGAAGCATATAGGTATATAGATAAAAGTTATTGAGAAAGTTTGGGATTAGGTGGTCAGCACTTTTAAAGGTATTTTAAAAAATTAACAAAGACAAAAAGAACCTTTGAATAACATATCACATTTCTGAACAAGAAGATTCAATGATTCAATATTGTAAAAATGTCCATTTTTCACAAAGACAGCTATAAATTGATGCAATTCTAATGAAAATCACCGAGGTCTTTGTTGTTAAGAGGGTGGGAGATAATGACAAAATAATTCAAGTTTCCCTGGCAGAAAAAAAAATGGGTGAGATTAGCCAAGGACATTTTGGAAATGAAGAGTAATGGTAGGGTTCTTACCTTAACAGATGTTAAAATTTATTTTAAAGCTACAATAATTAAACAATTAAGTCTGGCTCAGGAATAATAAATCAAAGAAGAAAAATCCACAAAAAGGTCCACAAGTAAGTAACAAGTAAGAATCCAATGAAGGCAGCAAGTCAAATGAGAAGGGAAAAGACAGATTACATAATAAATAATATGGGGACTACTGGCTGCCATTTGGAAGAAAATAAAGAGCCCTCTATTACATCACCCTCCAAAGTGAAGGAAAACTAGTTGAAGTAAAATCAGGAAAGACATATAAACAATGTAGATTTTTATAAGCTTGTGATGTCACAGATTCTTCTAAGCATGAAGCAAATAATGAAAATAAATAGACTGATAGATTTAGCCAATTAAAAGTTTAATCCTATGTACATCTGAACATACTGAAACCAAATTTAAGAAAAAAATAACACTGATAAAAATATTTGCAACATAGGCCGGGCACGGTGGTTCACGCCTGTAATCCCAGCACTTTGGGAGGCCGAGGTGGGCGGATCACGAGGTCAGGAGATCGAGACCATCCTGGCTAACACAAAACCCCGTCTCTACTAAAAAATACAAAAAAAAAATTAGCCGGGCGCGGTGGCGGGCGCCTGTAGTCCCAGCTACTCAGGAGGCTAAGGCAAGGGAATGGCATGAACCCGGGAGGCGGAGCTTGCAGTGAGCCGAGATCGCACCAAGGAGACAGAGGGAGACTCCGTCTCAAAAAAAAAAAAAAAAAAAAAAAAAAAAAATATATATATATATATATATATATATATATATATATATATATTTGCAACATACATGAAAAGGCCAACATTGGTCGGGTGCAGTGGCTCACACCCATAATCCCAGCACTTTGGGAGGCTGAGGCGGGCAGATCACAAAGTCAGGAGTTCGAGACCAGCCTGACCAACCTGGTGAAACCCCGTCTCTACTAAAAATACAAAAATTAGCCGGGCATGGTGATGCACGCCTGTACTCCCAGTTACTCGGGAGGCTGAGGCAGAAGAATCCCTTCAACCCGGGAGGCAGAGGTTGCAGTGAACCGAGATCACGCCATTGAACTCCAGCCTGGGCAACAAAGCAAGACTCCGTCTCAAAAAAGAAAAGAAAGGGGAGGGGAGGGGAGTGGAGGGAAGGCAAGGCAAGGCCAATGTCCTCACTGTCTAATTAGTATGGGGCAAAACAAAGTTTTAAAATTTTTTTAATGGGAAAATGCCATGAGTATATTGACAACTGCAAGACTCTCTGCACACACGTTAACAACTCCATCAAACTCTGGCCATGGCTTCTAGCAGCATAAGATCATGTCCCTAGGATGACTCTAGACCTCCATTAAAAAGCTCAACGTTACCGGAAAAACCTACTATTTGTTCTAACCAGCACCTGTCAATAGACCAATAACTCTTTATCCTAGACCACAAAATGTGACTATATCATCTCCTTGAATCCTCATAAATATTTCCAGAAGAGTGTTATTATTACCTGAATATTATGAACAAGGAATGTTCTAGGCCTCATTTCTGGACTGGTGGTTTGGGATGCAAAAGGCCCCGGTTCTGATTCTGAGTCTATCCCTAACCACTACTATATGTGAACTTGGCCAAGTCTCTTCTGTCTCACCCTCAGTTTCCTCATCTGTAAAATAAGAAGTGGATTGGCCCGGCCGGGCGCAGTGGCTCACGCCTGTAATCCCAGCACTTTGGAAGGCCGAGGCGGGCGGATCACGAGGTCAGGAGATCAAGACCATCCTGGCTAACACGGTGAAACCCCGTCTCTACTAAAAATACAAAAATTTAGCCGGGTGTGGTGGTGGGCACCTGTAGTCCCAGCTACTCGGGAGGCTGAGGTAGGAGAATGGCGTGAACCCGGGAGGCAGAGCTTGCAGTGAGCCGAGACTGCGCCACTGCACTCCAGCCTGGGCGACGAGCAAGACTCCGTCTCAAAAAAAAAAAAAAAGAAAAAAAAAAGAAACAGAAGTGGATTGGCCCAAATGGTGTGTCAAGTTCCTTCCTGCTCAGACATTACAGATTTCTATTCTCATAAAGCACCCAGTACCAACCAATGGCCAAGGATTGATCCAAACCAGAGGTCAGCCCCAGTGGTCTCAGGGGCTAATTAGGTGGCCGCACGCAGGGGCCCCATGCGCTGGCCCACCTTGAATTCCTCGTGGATGCGTTCCTCCAGGACTTTGGCAGCCTTGCGGTCTTCCATCTCCACTTTCCACTTCTCCGCCAAGATCCGGGCTTTCTCATTGGCCAGAGCATCCCGGAACTTCTTGGTGATCTCTGCCTCCTTCTGTCTCCTACCAAGAGAGCACCACAGGTATAAGCTTGTGTGAAAAACTGAAGGACCACCTAACAATAGAACTTGAAATAAAAACAATGAGCAATTTTTCCTTGGTCTATCAGAATTCGGTGTTGGCAAAGACAGGGAGAAATAGGCATTCTCACGCATGGGAGTGTAAATCGGCACAATTGTTCTGGAAGCCAGGAAAACTATGCTAGAAACCCCATTTCCTAGATTTTCTACACTCACTCAAGCGTACAAGGATACATGTAGGTTAGGCATGGTGGTGCATGCCTGTAATCCCAGCATTTTGGGAGGCAGTGGCAGGAGGATCGCTTGAGGCCAGGAGTTCAAGACCAGCCTGGGCAACATAGTGTGACACCGTCTCTACTAAAAATTTGAAAAATTAGCCATGTCTGGTGGCATGCACCTGTGTCCCAGATACTCAGGAGGCTGAGGCGGGAGGATCACTTGAGCCCAGGAGATCAAGGCTGCAGTGAGCCTTGATCATGACACTGCACTCCAGCCTGGGAAACAGAGTGAGACCCTGTCTCAAAAAAACAAAACAAAATGATAAATAAATAAATTCATAAGTAAATAAAACAAAGATGCATGTAAAAGATGCTTGTCAGATTATTTTTATAATATAAAAAATGGTAAACAACCCAAATGTCCACCAATAAGACCAATAAGTTGGGTTTCTCATATCATATAATAAATACCTGTACCATATAGTAATCTTAAGTAGCATTTTGGATCTATAAGTCAATTTGTCAAGGTGTGAATAAAACAATTTACAAAGCATGTATTAACTAAACATTCACTATGGTTACATTAGGTGGTGGGTGTGAGTTGTTCTTTATTTTGTATAGTTTTCAGTGTTGTTTACCTGATTTTAGAATCTTTCAATTAAAATACCATCATTAAGGCTGGGTGTGGTGGCTCACGCCTATAATCCCAACACTTTGGGAGGCCGAAGCGGGTGGCTCACCTGAGGTCAGGAGTTTGAGACCAGCCCGGCCAACATGATGGAACTCCATCTCTACTAAAAATACAAAAATTAGCCGTGCGTGGGGCTAAGCATAGCTTCCATGCCTAGGCCCCACCCAACACCCCATAGCACCCCTCACCAGAGCTCCTCAGCTTCCCTCTGTGCCTGCAGCCGCGCCCTCTCTGCAATCAGCTCCTCAGAGATCTCTTCGTAGGGCTTGTCACCAGGGCCTTCTCCCATGATCCAGACCCAGACCTCGCCATCTGCCCCTAGGAGCCATTGGATGTGCTTGTCACTCGCTGCTTCACAATAGAAGAAGGAAGAAGAAACAAGTTTGATTTTCAATCAGTAAGGAATGACCTAAGCTGCCCAGTGGTAAACAACCATCACATCACTCTATGGAACATTGTCATCCACAAAAAGAATGCCAGAGAGACACTGGCCTGGGGGCAGGTCCACAACCATCTCCCACTCTCTATTCCTCTAGGGAGAAACGCAACAGCCACACCAGCCTGCGGGGGTGGGCGTCCAAGACTGAGCTCTCCTTCCATCTCCAGCAGAGAGAATGTACAGTGAAAAGGAGGCCGAGCATGACTAGCTCCAACTTACTCCTAACCTCCCGGCCCCTGCAGTGATATCTTTTAGGTTAACTGCTTTTGCTTACCTCCGCACATAGGCCGAGCTAACAATGGGAGGAATTTAGTGTATAGTTTAACTGTAAAGCAAGGATGATAATAGCCCCTCCCCAAAACGAACCCCCCAGGAGACAAAGAGGGTGTACACACAAGTAACGATGTCATGTTAAAAATGTATAAGAGCATTGTGACCTGACCAAGGACAAAGAACTTTACCCTCGCTGCCACCCAGATGTCCATAGTCATTGCTCACCCTTTGATCTCAACCCCCCCGCCTCTTCCCCCTTCCCTTAACATAAAAGAAACCCAAAATTCATATTAGCTTAGGAGGTTCTTTAGGACACTAGTTGCCATCTTCTCGGTTCGCTGGGTCTCCGAAATAAAGTTGCTTTCCTTGCCCCAACGCCTTGTCTCTCAACTTATTGGCTGTTGTGTTGTGAGCAGTACAAGCTTTGGACTTTGCTACAAGAACATCAAGGGACATTGCAGCACTCTCTGAAGGAAGAAACTTGTGTCACTCCCGGGCCAAGGCAGTTAGGAGATGGTGGGCCCGCTCTGCACTCTCTGCCTCATGTCCACTGGCTAGAAACAAGGAATCAGGTGGTGGTGTGAGATGAAGCAGCCTGGGGCCCTGAGTCTCCCAGTCCCACAACAGACCGTGACACTAGCAAGAAATAAACCTGTGTTAAATTCAGCCACTGAGATTTCTCAGTTTGCCTATTGCAGCAGATTCCGCTGATTACAGGATTAAAATAAAAATGTATCCCAGAAGCAGGGTGCTGCTGAAACAGAAATATAAACTGTGTTACTGCCTTAGCAGTTGGGTGGTGAGCGATGTTTAACAGGCTAGAGATCCATGTTATGCAGCAGCAAAACATTCAGTTAAAAAGCTAGACACTGTAACTTCAAAAGCAGACCCCATGCTTTCTGAACTTTTCATTCTAAGGGAGGAGGTTGAAAAATAGAACATTAGGAATAAGTGTTGGTTGCTAGTGACTGTGTTTGGCAAGGTGTTAACAGAAAGAAATGAATTCAAGAAAGAACTGAGTGCTTTGCAAGCTGAAAGAAAGGGAATAGAACAAATACAGAAATTTGAGATGTTGTAGGATTGAAAAAGCATCTCTTCATATACCAGGACCGACATTGCAAGAGATGGGATTTTTAAAGGTTTTGTATGACAGAGCACAGGAAAACTTCTAAGGTGAATAAAGTGACGAAGGGCACACAGCACCTGCAGGTCAGGCTCTGTGAAGTTCTTATGGTGACCATGAGGATGTGCTCCGTCCACCTTCAACCACAAGGAGCATCACTGACCAAGCCCCGCAGCTCCTGTGCCCTTGCGTTTGCCCAAGGCCCTGCTTCCCAGAGGCTGCTGTTAGCCTTTTATTGAGGATGCTAGGCTCATTCCCAGGAGACACCCACCTCCTTGCCGAAAGATTGCTTTCCCTGGACTGCACAGCTGCCTGCAACACCTCTGCCCACTGTCCCTTGCCCTCTCCTTCACTCAAGGTCAAGCTTACAATGACTCCCTCAGCCTCCTCCAGCTCCCTGCCCTTTTTCTCTCCCAGACATTTCCCTTAATAAAACCCTTGCATGATTAATCCCATCCTGTCTGTACTCCTTGGAGAAACCAGACTAACATAGCCACATTAAGAACGTGATCTCTCATTGCGCCACTGCACTCCAGCCTGAGCGACAGAGCAAGACTCTGTCTCAAAAAAAAAAAAAAGTGTGATCTCTCACACTTATTTTTAGAAAAAGCTTCAAGGAAGATGTCCTTCAGGTGAAACAGAGAGGCACAGAGATGAAGGGACAAAGGAAGAATGTCGAGTTGAGAAATATGTCTAGGAAAGAATTTTAGATGTTGTTACTGGGACATGGAAGCGAACAGAAGCCCCCTAAGTTTTTGAGCCTGGATTAAAAAATCTTTGGTTGTTCATGACTTAAATGGCCCTTGGGCATCCAAGTTTGATGACCAGCAGGCAGGTTTCAAAGGCTACACTGGTCTAGAGGGTGTGATCCTCAACACTCCCTTCAGAGGAGGCCAAGGGGAATCAGACAAAAAGCCTCATCCAGGCTGAAGTCAGTGTTCACTCAAGGAATTCTCTTCACTGCAAGGCAGGGAAACTTTGCGGTCCTGACCTGTAGGACTTCAGAAATGCTATAGACTGGAGACTGTGGCTCTCACGTTCTCCACTTTTCCAGGTGGCATTTCCTTAGTGGGTATTCTGACCCTGCTCCAGCACTGTATATAGTGCCTTAGGGGTGACAGGTATTTAAATGATATGTCTTCTCAGCACATTCAGACCTGATAGAGACCAGTGCAGAACCCCAGAGACAGTGGACTTTCAGCTGGATGCAGTGACTGGCTGGGACCTGAAGGTGTCCCCTATAAGAGGTGGTGAGTGTATTTTAGATGGAGGAGAAGAATGAAATGTGTGGATGGCCAGAATGACAATTTAGGACAGTGACAATGCAATGTCCACCACCCTATGTCTCTTCCTCAGCCCACAGATGACTGACTACATTCCTCAACTTCCCTTCAGTACAGTGGGACCATGTGATCGAATTCTAGTCCACGGAATGTCAGGGAAGGGATTTGTGCCATTTTCAGGCTAAGGTGGTTAGCAGCGGGTGTGCCTTTTCCACATTTTCACTCTTGTCCACCCAGCTGGAAATAAATGGTGGAATTTCACGGAAAAAAAGCAGCCTGATCCATGATCCAATATTCGAAAGCAAGCCACACAGAAGAAATATCCAACCCACATCAAACTGTGAAATAGTTAAGTAATAAACCTTCATCATATTAATCTACTGAAATTTCAGGTTTTTCTACATGCGCAAGACAGCAGTAATTCTCCAGATATATATAGGAGTGCATTGCTATTTTTAAGTATGTTACAAGCAATATATAGTAAAGAAACACCGATTTAATTATAACTGATAGAAACAGAGAGGCAACCACTGCTTAGAATTATAAAACTTTCAAATTAATAGTGGGTAAAAATAAATGATAAGAGGATTACCAATCCTGCTAAGCAAGGGGAAAAGATAAAGCAGCAAAAAATGGGTAGCTATTACAGCAGACACTGCCAATTAACTACCCACCCTCCACGCTTGCCTCACCACAGAACCCCAAGTTGTTCAGGGAGCAGCAGAGATCCCCCCTCTTTTAGGAAAGGTGAGTTTTGACCCCAACCTCAAAGGACAAATAACAATTGATTTGGCAGGGCGCAGTGGCTCACGCATGTAATCCCAGCGCTTTGGAAGGCTAAGGTGGGCAGATCACCTGAGGTCAGGAGTTCCAGACCAGCTTGGCCAATATGATGAAACCCCATCTCTACTAAAACTACAAAAATTAGCTGGGCATGATGGTGCATGCTTGTAATCCCAGCTACTCGGGAGGCTGAGGTGGGAGAATTGCTTCAACCTAGGAGGCAGAGGTTGCAGTGAGCCAAGATCACGCCACTGCACTCCAGCCTGGGAAACAGAGTGAGACTCGGTCTCAAAAAAAAAAAAAAAAGAAATTGATCTAATCCCATCAGGTAATATTATTCTCATTGGCAAGTGATTCATCTATGAGTGACAAGATGTCCCCATTTCTGACAAAGAAGATGTAGGCAGACGTTCCATGTAAAGGGCTCTTCTTCTCCAAACAAACTGGATAAGTCTTCTTAGGAGAAACCCCTTCCCTCTTCACTCTTTTTTTTTTTTTTTTTTTTTTTTTTTTGAGCCGGAGTCTCGCTCTGTCACCCAGGCTGGAGTGCAGTGGCGCGATCTCAGCTCACTGCAAGCTCCGCCTCCTGGGTTCACGCCATCTTCCTGCCTCAGCCTCCGGAGTAGCTGGGATTATAGGCGCCCAACACCACGCCTGGCTAATTTTTTTGTATTTTTAGTAGAGACGGGGTTTCACCGTGTTAGCCAGGATGGTCTTGATCTCCTGACCTCGTGATCCGCCCGCCTCGGCCTCCCAAAGTGCTGGGATTACAGGCGTGAGCCACCACGCCCGGCCACTCTTCACTCTTTTACCCGACCTTCTTCTTCCTGCCAGGAATGAAGCAGTGATTCCTGGAGCCACTGGAAAACTTTTGCAACCATGAGGATAAAAGCCACATGCTAAGGATGGGGAGGCAAAAGATAGAAGGGAAGGGATCCTTGGTGATCTTATCGAGCAGCTAAACTAGTATTACCCATTGCAGCACACCCCCAGATTTCTTGTCATCTGAGAAAAATAAGGAAATTTAAGAAATAAAGTTCTTCAGTTGGGTGTGGTGGTGCATGCCTCTAGTCCCAGCTAGCAGGGAGGCTGAGGCAGGAAGATCCCTTGAGCCCAGGAGCTGGAGACTGCAGTGAGCTATGATTACACCACTGCACTCACTCCAGCCTGGGTAAGAGGGCAAGAACATGTCTCTTTAAAAGAAAAAAAAAAAGGAAAAGAAATAAAGTTCTTCATGGAGATAGAGGGTAGAATGATGGTTACCAGAGGCTGGGAAGGGTAGTGGGGCTGGGGGTGGGGGGTACAGGGGATGGTTAATGGGCACAAAAATAAAGTTAGATAGTGTGAAAGCAAACTAAATATGGCCTGAGAAGGACTCTGTTGTTCTCTATTTGAGTCCTTGTGGACGAACCATAACCTAACTTAATAGGTATACAAGACTGAAACCGTAACTTAGGAGTATCAGCCTGTAACAACAGGGGAGTCTTGGCCAATCCCAGCGGCCATACTTCAGCCACTCATAGACTGCTGAGTGTTCAAACTGTGCTCAAATAAGGCAAATGCCAACCTGTGACCAATCCACCTGTTTCTGTACCTCACTTCCAATGTCCCTTTTTTTGTCTATAAATTTGTTCTGACCATGAGGCATCCCTGGAGTCTCTCTGTATCTGCTGTGATTCTGAGTGCTGCCCGATTGGCAAATCATTCATTCCTCAATTAAATTCCTATAATTTACTTCAGCTGAAGTTTTCCTTTTAACAATAGAATGAATGTTTTGGCTTAAGCCACAAAATTAATGGTTATGTTACTAAAATGGAGAACATGGAAGAAAGAGGCTGGAGATATCAATATTCTGTTTTGGCCAAATTGTTTGACATGCTTATTAGACACTCAACAGGCAGTTGAATAAAATAGGATTCAGGGGAAAGGATGGGACTAAGAAATAAACTTTTTGAGTCATCAGTGTACAGATGATATTTAAAGCCAAGGAAATGGATGGGATCAGCTAGAGAGTGAGAATTGGTAGAAAACGGAAGATGCCCAAGGACATTGTCCCAGGAGAGACACTCCAATACTTCAAGAGGAGGAGGACCCAAAGGAGACCTGGAGAGAGAGGCCTGTGAGGCAGGAGAATAACCTGTGAGTGCAGTATCCCAAGCCAAGTGGAGAAAGAATTTCAGGAAGCAAGGAGAAAGGAATCTTGCAAGTGCGGCTAATGGGTAGATGAGGGGAGGGCTGATAATTGGACGCTGGATTCAGCAACATGGAGGTCTCTGGTGATCTTGACATGAGTGGTTTCCTAAGCCTGTGAAAAGGAAGACTTGGAAACTTGAAAACATTTAAAGGAAGATATAAAAGCACATCATTATAACTTTGGGAAAGGGAAGAATTTGTTCTACAAGACATAAAAAGAATAAGCTGCAAGATGCAATGTTGATAAATTTGAATACAGATTAAGGTTTAAAATTTCTACACACAAAAAACACATCATAAAGACAATTAAAAATCAAAACACCAAATGAGAGAAAACATTTAAATACCTGTAACCATCAAATGATCACAACTATTAATAAAAGTAATAATAACAGCTAACATCTATAGAGGGCTTAGCTACTAATTGCAGTTCAACGTGTTTTATATGTACCAACGTATGGAAATCCAGGACAATTTTTCTTGATTGGGGTTCTGTAAGAGAAATAAGCCCTATGAAACATAATTTGAATGATGCCTTTTCTCAATTTTCCTAAGGATGATATATAGATAGTACCAACCTATATGCCTTGTGGGAGAGTTAACTCAGCACATATAATGCATCCTTTAGGACAAGAGTTATCAAATAATTAGCTCTTAGAGCCCCTGTACATTCTTTAAAAATACTGAGTATCACAAAGAGCTTCTGTTGTTGTGGGTTATATCTATCAATATTTCCCCTAGTTAAAACTGAGAAAATTTTAAATATTTATTTCAAATAATGGTAAATCATCATATATTAACATATACTGCATAATATTTAATGAAAAATAATGATGTATTCTAAAACAAATATGTAATTGAAAAACAGGGTAAAATGGCATTGATCTGGGCAATTATTTTTTGGCTATAAACTCAAAAGCACATGCAACAACAGCAAAAATAGACAAATGGGATAATGTCAAACTACAAAGCTTCTGCACAGCCAAGGAAACAATTAACAGAGTAAAGAGATAATCTACAGGATGGAAGAAAATATTTGCAAACCATACATCTGATAAAGGGTTAATATCCAAAATATATAAGGACTCAAACAACTCAACAGAAGAAAACAAATAACCCAATTTAAAAAATTGGCAAAAGACTAGAATAGATATTTCTCAAAGGAAGGCATACAAATAGCCAACAGGTATATGAAAAAATGTTCAGCATCGGCCGGGCGCGGTGGCTCACGCCTGTAATCCCAGCACTTTGGGAGGCCGAAGCGGGCAGATCACAAGGTCAGGAGATCGAGACCATCCCGGCTAAAACGGTGAAACCCCGTCTCTACTAAAAATACAAAAAATTAGCCGGGCGTAGTGGCAGGCGCCTGTAGTCCCAGCTACTTGGGAGGCTGAGGCAGGAGAATGGCGTGAACCCGGGAGGCGGAGCTTGCAGTGAGCCGAGATCCCGCCACTGCACTCCAGCCTGGGCGACAGAGCGAGACTCCGTCTCAAAAAAAAAAAAAAAAAAAAAAAAAGAAAAAATGTTCAGCATCATAGGTCATCAGAGAAATGCAAATTAAAACCACATTGAGATATCACCTCACACCTGTAAGAATGGCTATTATCAAAAAGATGAAAGGTAACAAATGTGGAAGAGGATGTTGAGAAAAGGGAGCCTTTTACGCTGTTGGTGGGAGCATAAATTAGTACAGCTATTGCGGAAAATAGTATGAAGGTTCCTGAAAAAAATTACAAATTGAAGTATCCTATGATCCAGTTATCCCACTACTGGATAAATATCCAGAGGAAATGAAATCCGTATGCTGAAGAGTTATCTGAACTCCCATATTCACTGCAGCATTATGCACAATAGCCAAGATATGGAATCAACCTAAGTGATTATAAACAGAGAAATGGATAGAGAAAATGTGGTATGTATTAAGTAAGTCCTCACATAATATCATTGATAGGTTCTTGGAAACTGCAACTGTAAGCAAAACAACATACAGTCAGTCTTTTAAATAATGTCATTTGATTCAATGTCATTTTGTTAAAACGTTCATGAGAAAAAACTGATTTTGATATTTGTCATTTCACTTAAAGTCACAGTTTCCAAGAACCTATCAGTGATGTTAAGTAAGGACTTACTTGTACACAGTGGAGTATTATTCAGCCTTAGAAGGTAATTCTGTCATTTGTGAGAACATGGATGAATCTGGAGGATATTATGTTAAGTGAAATGAGCCAGGCACAGAAAGACAAATACCACATTATCTCACTTGCATGTGGAATTTTTTAAAGTTGTTACTAGGGGATGGGGGCTGTGGGCAGGGAGGGGGATTAGGAGATTTTGGAATTTTTATATATGTGTGTGTGTGTGTGTGTGTGTGTGTGTGTGTGTAATTGGAAGAGTGAGTGGCCTTGCTTTACATTTTTGCAAATCTATTCAATGCCCAGCTTAATAGAAAGCAGGTGGATTACTCATATCTGCTCCTGCATTCAGTCTGTTGCAAAATGTAATTTTGGTTGAAGTATATTTTGAAAAATTGGACTTCATCCAGTTATGTAGTTGGGAAAAAAGAAAAAGGAATTAATCATTTTTTTCAGATAATCTCTGATACTACATCAAAACTCAAACAAGTTGTAGTTTCTTAAATGTTAGTTGCAATGTGGTATCTGAAACCATATCAATAAATTTATTGTACTTTGTTGTATTGATATTTATTAGCCATGTTAATTTCTTAGTTTTGATCAGGGTACCTTAGTGACATAACATGTTACCATAAAAGGAAGCTGGGTATATGAGAATTCTCTGAACTACTTTGCAACTCTTCTGTAAGTCTAAAGTTAATTCAAAATAAAAAGTTTAATATTTAAAAAGCAAAATAAGTTGAAAATCCATTGGTTTATTTTTCATTTTGAATGAATCTTTTACCCATGCATAATTTTGCAACATTACTCATTGGTTCTTTAGAGAATATTGGTTCATTGAGTCAAGCAGATCTTCCAAACACTGACTTATTTTATTTTGCAACATCTGAAAAGTCACATTTGTAAATATCACCATGAATCTTACAAGAAAAGTCATTATGTATTTGGAAACTAATAAGCCCATTGTGGCAGACACAAGTTTTCCAAAAATTTTAATTTTTGCTTTAAAGCTGAATTTTTATCATTGGCATGAATTCTATCCGTTGTTTTCCTTGAAGTGACAGATTCACTTTATTTTCAAATACCCAAGTCTGAAAAAACATATATAGCTTGTCTGTCAGTGTTTCTTCAAGTAAAAATGGTGTTCCACAAATAAAGAGGCTAGTTCAGCAAATAATTTGAACAATCACACATGCTTTTCTCAAAACACTCATCATACATCAGTTTGCAACAGAAATGCTTCATGCATACTTCCCATTTTGTCACACAGTACGAAGTTTACTGTTTCACCAAGGAATGAAACCATCATTGATTTTATCGAGAGTGTGTGATGGTGAAAAATACAATGACTACCACCAAAGATTCACTCACTATTGATTTTGCATTATTAGTACAAATGTAAAGATAAAAGAAAGTAAATAACCTCTTAGTGTTATTGTGAAAATAGTGTTGACCTTGAAGACCTCCAGGAAAATCCTCACAGACCCCAGGAATTCAGGAACAACACTTTGAGAATCACCACCAGTGTATCAGAGCTTAATTGTCTTACAAAATCCTAAAAAAAAAAAAAAAAAAAAAAAAAAAAGCTTGGCCAGGAACGGTGGTTCAGGCCTATAATTCCAGCATTTTGAGAGGCTAAGGCAGGAGAATTGCTCAAAGCCAGGAGTTCAAGACCAGCCTGGGTCACAAAGCAAGACCCCCTGTCTCTACAAAAAGTAAAAAAAAATTAGCCAGGTGTGGTGGTATGCACCTATAGTCCCAACTACTTGGAAGGCTGAGGCTGGAGGATGGCTTAGGCTGGAGGATGGCTTGAGCCCCAGGAGTTCAAGGCTGCAGTGAGCTATAATCATGCCATTATACCAAAGCCTGGGTGACAAAACAAGACTCTGTCTCAAAAAAAAAAAAATCTAAGAATATATAAATAATTCCTATACATGAATTGAAAAATGATGAATAGCCTTACTTTAAAAAATAAAAATAAAAAAAAGGTGCAGCCGGGCACGGTGGCTCACGCCTGTAATCCCAGCACTTTGGGAGGCCGAGGTAGGTGGATCACGAGGTCAGGAGATCGAGACCATCCTGGCTAACATGGTGAAACCCCGTCTCTACTAAAAATACAAAAAATTAGCCGGGCGAGGTGGCGGGCACCTGTAGTCCCAGCTACTCGGGAGGCTGAGGCAGGAGAATAGCGTGAACCTGGGAGGCGGAGCTTGAAGTGAGCTGAGATCACGCCATTGCACTCCTGCCTGGTCGACAGAGCCAGACCCCGTCTCAAAAAAAAAAAAAAAAAAAAGGTGTATTTTAAAAATACAGTACTATATAGCAAGAAAATAGATTTCAACAACATAGTTACAGCTCTTTTAAAAATGCAGAACCACTCTGGGGGGGCAAAGGTGGGAGGATCACTTGAGCCCAGGAGTTTGAGACCAGCCTAGGAACACAGTGAAACCCTATTTCTGCAAAATGTAAAAAAATTAGCCAGACGTGGTGGTGCATGCGTGTAGTTCCAGCTACTCGGGAGGCTTAGGCAGGAGGATCCTTTGAGCCCAGGAGGTCAAGGCTACAGTGAGCCATGATCATACCACTACACTATAGGCTGGGTGATAGAGTGAGACCCTGTCTCAAAAAAAAAAAAAAAAAATGCAGGACCACAAAATTAAATTCAGGTTATCATAGTATAATCATATAATGCCATTTATATAATGATTAAGCAACATATTGCTTATGGACAAAGTCTATATTACAGTAAGAAACAGATATAAGCATGATAAACATTGAATTTGCAATAAGGGTTGCATAAGAGATGGGGAGCAAGATTGTAGAAAGGCACCAAAGTAGGTCTCAACTGAATCTGAATTGTTTAAATAAAAACAAATAAGACACTAACGTTAACATTTGATAAATATACTGTGGGCCCATGGGTATTTATAATATTATTTTCTACTGTGCCTGTTCATTCAAATGTTTTATAATGAGAAATTTTAAAAGCATTGTAAAAAAGATATAATGTGAATAAGCTAATTTTCAATTTGAGATATTAGAAAAAGAACAATAAAATAAGATAAAAGAGAGTAGGAAGAAGGAACAAATGAAGACAAAAGCTAAGATTAGTAAAATACAAAGCATATATAGTATAAATACAACTAAACATTTGTTTTTTGGAAAATGTAATAAAATAAGAAACTGCCTGGCATACCTAAGTAAAAATTAAATAAAACAAAAATATATACCATTAGAAATGAAAAGACAATATAAAACAAGAAGTGATTATAAAAGAATATTATGTGCTACTCTATCTTAATAACTGAAAATTATAGATATAAGCATAAATCTTCATGCTCCGGTTAGACCTTCATGACCTCAGAAACAAGGGTTTCTTAAATATGACAGCAAAAGTACAAGCAACAAATGGTTGCACATATCTATGAACATACTAAAAACTATTAAATTGTATGCTTTCAGTGCATGACTTAAGGCTGTGTGCAGCGGCTCACACCTGTAATCCTAGCAGTTTGGAAAGCCAAGTTGGACAGATTGCTTGAGCCCAGGAGTTCAAGACCAGCCTTAACCACATAAGACCAGCCTTGACCACATGGCAAATCCCTGTCTCTACCAAGAAAAAAACAAAAATTAGCTGGGTATGTGGTGGTACGCACCTGTAGTCCCAGCAACTGAGAGGCTGAGGTGGGAGAATCACTTGAGCCCAGAAGATGGAAGTTGCAGTGACCCAAGACTGAACCACTGCACTCCAGCCTGGGTGACAAAGTGAGACTCTTTCTCAATAAATAAATAAATAAATAAATGCATGATCATTATATGGCATATTAATAACATCTCAATAAAGCTGCTTTTTAAAAAGTTTCCTCTGGTGATTAATAGGATAAGTAGGAAAAATTAAGCTATAGAAGATCTAAACAGCTTTATCAACCAACTTAACTGACATTTATGGAACACTTCACATGACAGCTGAATACTTTCTCTTTCAAGTACATACAGAACATTCACCCAGATAGATAGGATTCTCAGCTATTGAAAAAAAAATCAACAAGCATAAAATATTTGAAATCATGTGTGTTATGTTCTCTGACCACAGTGGAATAAATCTAGAAATCAATGACAAAAAGATACTTGAAAAAATTTCTTTCAAATATTCAGAAACTAAAGAACACAATTCTAAGTAGCCCATGAATTTTAAAAAAAAAATCACAAGGTGAATTATAAAATATTTTAATTGAAGAAATATTTTAAATAACATGTAAAAATTCATGTGATGTAGTTAAAGCAGGGCACTGAAAGACATTTATAGCATCAAATGCTTATATTAGAAAGGAATGTTTCAAATCAATGGTCTAAGCTCCCACACTAAGAAACTTGAAAACAAGAACAAATTAAATCCAAAAGTAAAAGTAAGAAAGAAATAATAAAGATAATGGTAGAAACTGATAAAATGGAAAACAGAGAAACAAAAAGAAACCACAATAAAACAAACGAAAATTAGTTTTTGAAGCCACTGGCGAAATTGATAAATTTCTCAGCAGACTGATCAAGATAGTAAGAGAGAAGACACAACTTTCAGGCATGAAAGAGAGGTCATCACTAAAGATCCTACAGACAAGGGAATTTTATGAGCAACTTTATATCAAGTTGATAACTTAGATAAAATAAGCAAATTATTTGAAAGATGCAAAATATACAACAGTTCACTAAAGAAGAAACATACACCTTGAATAGCTCTATGTCCACTATAGAACTTGAATTTATATGTTAAAATCTGCCCACAATGAAAGACATTACTGGTAAATTCCATCAAACATTTAAGGAAGAAATAATACCAAATGCATACAAACACTTCCAGAAAATGGAAGAGGAGAGAATATATTCTAACACATTTCTTCAGGTTGACATTACCCTGATATTAAACTAAACACATTTCAAGAAAAGTACAGAACAATATCTATCACACAGATTTTTTAAAATCTTAATAAAGTATTAGCAAATTAAATTCAGAAATATATAAAAAGGATAAATTATCATGACCATATATGATTTTATCAGGAATTTAAGGTTGGTTCAACATTCAAAAATCGATCAAAATAGTCCTATCAGCAGACTAAAAAAGAACAAATTATGATCATCTCAGTAGTTACAGAAAAACATTTGACAAATTCAATATCCATTCCTAGTAAAGATTCTCAGCAAACTAGAAATAGAGGGTAGTTCCTCACTCTGATAAATGCATCTATGAAAACCTACAGTTAACATCATACTTAATGACCGGAGATTGAATACTTCCCTCTAAGATTAGGAACAGGCAAGGTTGTTAGCTCTCTCCATATCTATTTAACATTAGACTGAAGACCCTAATCAGTACAATAAGGCAAGAAAATTAAATAAAAGTTGTGAATATTGAAGAGAAAACTTAATTTGTCTCCATTTGCATATGACATAATCATTTACCTATAAAATCTCAAAGAATCTACCAAAAAAAGATATTCAAATTAATCAGTGATTTTTAGCAAGGTCACAAGCTATAAGGTTAATACACAAAAATCCATTGTATTTCTGTATTTTAGCAACAAATAATTAAAAGTTAAATTTTAAGGTGCCATTTACAATAGCATCAGAAAACATGAAATACTAAGAGATATTAACAAAATGTGTGATCTAATCTACAAAACATTGCTGAAAGAAATTGACGACCTAAATAAATGGAGCAATACACCTTTTTCATGGATTGAAAAACTCAATAGTGTTAATGTGCCAATTCATCCCAGGTTGATCTACAGATTCCCAGAAAGCTTTTTACAGAATTGACAAGCTAATTCTAACTTATGTGTAAAAGCAAAGGACCTAGAATAGTCAAAACAATGTTGAAAAGAACAAAGCTGAATGACTCATGCAATTTGTTTTAAGATTTACTATAAAGGTACTGTTTGAAGATTTATCATAAAGCAACAGCCAATGTGGTATTTGTGCAAGAGTAGACATACACAATCAATGAAATAGTATGGAGAGTCCTGAAATAGTCCCACACGTACATGGTCAATTGCTTTTCAACAGTGCCAAGATAATGCAATGGAGAAAGGATTTTTTTCAACAAATAGTACTAGAAAAATTAGACATTCATGTGCAAAAAAAAAAAGAACTTGACTCTTAATTTGCACCATATATACGTCCACATTGTAGCTGTCAAGGAGTGAGAAAGGTCATATATGTATATATACTCAGATTTCCCTGCAAATAAAAAGGCACTTTCCACTTAACAATGCTGGAAAGCCCAAGCCATAAATGTTCATCACATCGTCTTACCTGGGTTTCCTTCACAACCCAGCTGCAAGGTCACTGCATCCAGAAATAACCTAGGGAGATTTTCCTTCTCTTACCTTCCTCCTCTGCACTAATATGGCACGAACACGCCTGTTCTTAAACCCACCTGTTCTTAAACCCACATTTTCTTCTGAAGCTTTCACGTGGGTGTGTTTAACATAGCAGAGGTAGGGTGACCAATAGTACCAGTTTGCTTGGAACTGAGGGCCTTCCTCAGATGCAGGACTTTCAGTTTTAAAACTAGGAAAGCTTCAGGCCGACTAGGACAAAACGGTTCACAGCAGAGATATTAGCAATTTCCCCACGACATTCAACGGAAAAGCAGCAGCAACCCCTCCTCCTCCATGACCTCAGCTTCTTTACTCACAGGTATGCACCAGAGCTAGACCAATCAGACTCCCACTGAATGGAATTCAAACTGAGAGGCATGAAGCCTCTCAGTTTAAAGACAATAATGGATCTTGGAAATGGAAGGCCACATGGATTCAGACCCTGGACAGCATTAGGGGGCTGTGTTTGCAGATGGACAGCATTGGAACCTGGTCTGCAGAAGCAAGTGCACAGAGAGAAATGTGAACAGTAGGCAGGGAGAGAAATGTGAACAGTAGGCGGGGAGAGAAACAACTCTGGCTGCAGACAGCTTCCTGGTTCTAGACCGTACTTGCTGTTCTTGTTCTCTTGGAGATGATTTGGAAGAATCCTCCTAAAGGATGTCCTTATTGAAAAGCCTGGCCACCCAGCTATATTGTAGGAGTCTGATGAGCAAAACCCTGGCATCTCTCATAGCGGAAGCACACTGCACACAGTAGGTCCTTGCTACATATGAGTGGAATTAATTACATGCTGTGATGGTGAATTTTATGTCAACTTAAGTAGGTTATAGTGCCTAGTTGCTTAGGTTTTACTGTAAAGTTATTTCATGGATTTTTTTTTTTTTTTTTTTTTTTTTGAGACTCGCCTTGTCGCCCAGGCTGGAGTGCAGTGGCGCAATCTCGGCTCACTGCAACCTCCGCCTCCTGGGTTCACGCCATTCTCCTGCCTCAGCCTCCTGAGTAGCTGGGACTACAGGTGCCCACCACTACGCCCGGCTAATTTTTTGTATTTTTAGTAGAGACGGGGTTTCACCGTGTTAGCCAGGATAGTCTTGATCTCCTGACCTTGTGATCCACCCGCCTCGGCCTCCCAAAGTGCTGAGATTACAGGCGTAAGCCACCGCGCCCAGCCATTTTATGGATGTTATTAGCATTTTCAATCAGTTGACTTTAGATAAAGCAGATTACCTTCCACATGTGGGTAAGCCTCACCCAAGCAGTTAAAAGCCTTAAGAGCAAAAAAATGGAGATTTCCCCAAGATGAAATTCTGCCTCAAGACTGTAACATAGAAATGCTGCTTGAGTTTCCACCTTGCTGGGCTGTCCTACAGATTTCAGACTTGACAAGCCCCACAATCACATGAACCAATTCCTTAAAACAAACTAAAATAATTATGTAAGCACACACACACACACACACACGTACATCCAATTGGTTCTGTTTCTCTGGAGAACCTGAACTGACACATTTGGTAATGCTAGCTGGTTATAAAGAGATTGAATCAGAACTTCAGAACAGTAAGAAACCAGGAGACACTATGGACCACAAGATACAGTGCAGATGTCCCCCTCTGTGCCTACAGCACCAGCTCCTAAAGGCAGGACCCATGCTGAGGATACGGCCCCTCTCAGAGAATCCTGCGAGGAAGCGGCTGCCCCAACAGCGATGTGTTCTCTTAACACAGATGCCTTTTGTTCTAAGCTGTAAACTTTAATCTTCTGGAACTTCAGTCTTCTGGAAAAGTTCTTCTAGAACTCCACTAAGCACAGGAGGAATGTGCTCTGCTAATGTTTATCAAGTACTCACAACATACTTTGCTTCACTGGGACCATCATTTCGTCTTCCTTACAAATCTGGGATGCAGAACTTATTATCATCATCTCCAGTTTAGGTAAGAGGAAACTTAGGCTCAGAGACTCATGAGTATCTTACCAAAGCCAAATTAATAAGTGGGAAACAGCCACAGTTAGAAAGTGGGTAGCCAAAATTGGAACCCAGACACTCTTACTGTCATACATGCCTCTGGCATAAAGGAGGCAAAAGTCCAGCACTCTGTGGGCACAGGGGCTGCTGCCAATAGTGCCAGGCTATTTGATATTGTATTCAGCACTGCCTTTGCTGTGTATGAGCAACACAGACATGGGGCTGGTCACGCTAAGCCACCACCATCACTCCCTCCAACCTTGTAACTGTGAAATGGCGCCCCCTCTACCCCAGCTCAAGGACACACCTCCTATGAAGCCTGGACCCTCTCTTGCTAGAACAAGAACAAACCCAAGAACAGCTCCCACCGGGGCCATGATGCCCCACGTGTAGCAGGACTTGGTGTAACTGTCATTGGGAAATCCACAACGCCCCACCTCCAACCCCTACTTCCCTGTCTGCAATTTGTTCAATACAGAGACACAGCAGAATCAATGTGCCAGTGAGGAGCCCAGACCCTGCTGTCAGTCCTGTTCCTTAAAATCTCTGGGATCAAAATCGCTTAATCTGTAAAATGAGGGAGCTGCACATGTCCTGGGGACAAGGGACAGGACATCCTAAATCTTTAGCATCTCACAGTTTTGAGGGTGAGAATCCCACCATGGTGCCCAGAAAAAAAGCACACCAGTGAAATACTAGGATAGAAATAAATGATGCCAGCCAGGCATGGTGGCTCACACCTGTAATCCCAACACTTTGGGAGGCCATGGTGGGTGGATCACCTGAGGTCAGGAGTTCAAGACCTGCCTGGCCAACATGGTGAAACCCCATCTCTACTAAAAAATATAAAAAATTAGCCAGGTGTGGTGGCGGGCACCTGTAATCCCAGCTACTCGGGAGGCTGAAGCAGGAGAATCACTTGAATCCGGGAGGCAGAGGTTGCAGTGAGCCAAGATCGTGCCATTGTACTCCAGCCTGGGCAGCAAGAGCAAAACTCCGTCTCAAAGAAAGAAAGAGAGAGAGAGCAAGAGAGAGAGAGAGAGAGAAAGAAAGAGAGAGAGGGGGAGAAAGAAATGCCTAAAGCCTAGGGTTATGTAATTCTAACACGACATGGGGTAAATACACATGAAAATGAACCCAAAGAATTTAGACCCCAACATCTAAGGCAAAATCTGTTTCCAAATGGGAAAACCATAGGAAGCTTTGCTGATTCTTAGGTGAGAAAAACCTGGAAAGCAGTAATGCTAGCCACTCGGAGAGATAGCAGAGGGACAGGTAGATGCCTACAACCTGCTACTTCCACCCAGCTCCTCTGAGCTGGAGTGAGAGCTGGGATTGGGTTACAGGGAGTGCCGAGATAAGCAGCTGGTGGCCTTTCTCACGAGCTGCCCCTGCTGTCCTCCAGGCTGGAAGTGGAAGCAGGGAGGTGCAGAGATGGGGAAGCAGGGAGGGGACAGCGTTAGCATCCTGAAATGAGGGGACAGAAAAGAATCCCAGGGGAGAGACAGGAAGCTAGGGCAGCTCAGGTCAGCATCCACCAGCTGGAGTCCTGAAGTAGCGCAGGAGAGGCACCTCCCTCCATGCAAAGTGGAGCAAAAGTCAGTCCTGTTCAAACAGTCCCTGGGCTTTTGGCAGCAGCTGGGAGAAGGGAAGGAAAGGGAAACTGCACCGAAACTCAGGCTCCCTGCTGGTCCACTGATCACTGACCAGCTGTGTGACCCTGGGCATGAGCCTCTGTTCTCTAACAATGGTCTGAAATTCTGAATGTTTGTGTACCCCTGCAATTCATACATTGAAACCCTAGTCCCAGTGTAATGGTATTAGGAGGTATGGCCTTTGGAAGGTAATTAGGGCAAGAGGTAATTAGGTCAACAAAATGGAACTTTCATGAATGGGATTAGTGCCTTTATAAGAAGAGGCCAGAGAGCTAGCACACTTTCTTTCCACCATGTAAGGATACAGAAGTCAGCCATTGGCATCCAGGAAGAGGGCTCTCATCAGACCCCTGACCATGCTGGCTCCCTGACCTCAGACATCCAGAGTCCAGGGCTGTGAGAAATGTTTGTTGTTTAAACTACTCAGTGTGTGATAATTTCTTATAGCAGCCTGGACTAAGACACCACCACCCCATCCCCATCTGCCCAAGCTCTTCGGGAACCTGCAGAAGCATTGGAAAGGGACAGGCACTCAGTCCCGCTGTGTGTCTCACTCTTTGTAGTGTGGGAGAGAATCTCTTTCCCTGGGTCCTCATTAACATGGCTACTCTTAGACTCTCCTAACTCTTGCTAATCTGATTGCTTTAATTTGAGTGGAAGTGGTTTATTAGTGAAGTTGAATGTATTTTCGCATCTTCATTGTGATTTGAAATTTCCCTCCTGCAATTGCTTGTTCATTTTTTTTCCTTCATTTTTCTATTGGTTGTTTGTCTTTTGCTAGTTGATTTGGAGCACTTCATTATATTTTCTGGATACTAATCCTTTGCCTGTTATATATGTTGCAAATATTTTTCTATTTAAATCCAGTTTCATTCTTTTTTTAAGTTTGGCATCTTTTATTAAGATTTTTAAAAATCAAGTTATGTTGGCCAGGCGCGGTGGCTCACATCTGTAATCCCAGCACTTTGGGAGGCCGAGGCAGGCAGATCACGAGGTCAGGAGATCGAGACCATCCTGGCTAACATGGTGAAACCCCATCTCTACTAAAAATACAAAAAATATTAGCCGGGCATGGTGGAGGGTGCCTGTAGTCCCAGCTACTCAGGAGGCTGAGGCAGGAGAATGGCGTGAGCCCGGGAGGTAGAGCTTGCAGTGAGCCGAAATCGCGCCACTACACTCCAGCCTGGGCAACAGAGTGAGACTCCGTCTCAAAAAAAATAAAATAAAATAAAAATCAAGTCATGTTTCTTTTTCTTTTTCTTTTCCTTGTTGTGCTTTATTCTAAGAAAGGCTTCACTCTCCCCCAACAGAGTCTCATATTTTCTTTTATTACTTTGATAATTTTGTTTCTCCTTTTTTTGTGTTGATCTTTAACCACCTGCAATATATGTTTTTCATCATGGCAGAAACAGTGTGGAGGAAGCTTCCTATGTTGTGGCAGGAAGAACAGGCCTAGGATCAGATTCTAATTCCAACTCCTACTTGTTTTTTAGAGCAGGTTGCTAAACCTCTCTGAGATTCCACTTGCTCAACTAAAATGGAAATAATACCTTATTCATTGATTCAAAGACACCTATTTTAACATTTCTTCAATCAGGATGTACTTACAACCATTGATGTATCATAGTTTAATTTACAGCTTTCTTAGTAGGACATAAAATAATGATGTGTCTTTCTCTTTTTTTTTGAGACGGAATCTCACTCTGTCACCCAGGCCGGAGTGCAGTGGCGCGATATGGGCTCACTGCAAGCTCCACCTCCTGGGTTCACGCCATTCTCCTGCCTCAGCCTCCCGAGTAGCTGGGACTATAGGCGCCTGCCACCATGCCCGGCTAGTTTTTTTGTACTTTTAGTAGAGATGGGGTTTCACCATGTTAGCCAGGATGGTCTCGATCTCCTGACCTCGTGATCCGCCCACCTCAGCCTCCCAAAGTGCTGGGATTACAGGTGTGAGCCACTGTGCCCAGCCAATGATGTGTCTTTCAATCAAGCACTCTTAGATTTTATGAAATGCATAGGGGTGCATCTTCCAGGTCACTGAGGGGTCAGATAAGCTGAGGCCCTTAAAGGGCCTAGCACAGGCCTGACAGGCCCTCCATCTGGAGGAGTTCTCCTTCATAGTATAGAATGCAGCTGCCTTTACTTCTTGCTCTGCCATCCGACCCATCCTCCTTAGCTTCCAGGGACCCCTTTCCCCCACCCCCCGCTCCCCACCAAAAGCCCTTAGCTGACTAAGGCTGCAAGTTCTTTCCTTGTGGACACAGATTATTCAAAGCTGACAATTAATTATTAATTGTTAATTAATTAAATTAATTAAATATTAATCTTTCTCCACAGCCACAGAAACCACCCTCACCCCTGGGGATGCCCATGCCTGCCAGGTACCAAGTGCCATCAGCACCGGTGACTGTGGGTGACCCCATGCCTGCTCACAGCAGCCTCTGCTCTGGCTCCTCTCACTGCCCACCTGGTAAGTCGAGGTTGTGCAGCTTCGGAAAGCACTGGTGCTAAAGATGGGGAGCAGTGGGCCCTGGTGGCCTTTGCAAGTGGAGCTGCCTCACTAAGAACCTCACTGCTGGGCCTGAGGAAGGCAGGAAGGAAACAAGAGCAAGGTGGCAGGCTGCAAAGGAACCAGAAGCCCTCGGCAGGTGCTGTGCACGCCGGGTGGACTTCAGGCACTTTGCACATGGCTCACTTAATCCCCACAACCTCCCCTGGAGGGAGGTGGTTTCAGTAAAGACCGTGCCCATTACAGATGAAGGGTCTGAGCTCCAGGGGAGATGCTGAGACTACACCCCTGAGGAGCTCACTCATCTGCACAGCTGTCTCACCTTTCTGGCTGCTGTATGGAGGCAGAACAGGAGGCTGGGAGCCAGAAAGTGAGGCCCCATCAATGTCAAGGCCACAAACCTGGGCGAAGCACCCACTGCACGGCAGGGCCATACCGGATCTCAAGGTCCAGGCAGATGGAACAGAAAGGTCTGGCCCCAGCTCTCTCTCCATGCCCCAAACGCCAGCAGAACACATGCCAAACTCACACACACACACACACACACACACACACACACACACACACAATCAAGTCCCATCACAGCTCTCGGAGATCCCTAGCCTTTGTTCCACTGCCTGGCTCAGGAGGGAGCCCTATGTTTAGCCACACAATCACAATCAGGGAGTCCCAGGCCACAGGCTGTGCCGACAGTTACCAGCAGATCACAGCAATTCTCTGTGTGCTCTTCCTGCACCCACCATGATGCCTCATCTTTACATCATTCATCTGAAAAGCTTATCAGCATCCCAAGAATCAAGAGTGACCCTTCATTGGAAAAACTGAATTTCCTCCAATATATCCTAAAAAGTAAAAGTAAATGTGTAAACTACACAAGGGTTGATGATCTGAGACACACAGGAAAGCCCTTGCTCCCTAAGTCACCCCCCATTGCTGAGACTCCAGAAAAACTGAGGTTGGCTAGACAGTGATGTGGCTGGTCCCATAGACTAGGGCTAGCAATGGAGCACTCAGGAAGAGGCCCAGACTAATTCCAAGGGGATCTGCCAGCAGAACCAAGAAAGGAAGGAGACGAGCATGACCTGGCTCTTAGGTACCTGCATGGTGGCAGAAGCTGTCCCCCTTGTTGAAGAAGCATTTTTAATTCTTCCAAAAACTGTTGGGAAAGAGTTGTTATTCTCATTGCATGGGTGACTTTCCAAAGCCACCCCAGTGGAATCAGGATGAAATTGAGTTGGCCTGGATCCATCCACCATGCCATAGGCATTTTGAAAATAACATCAAGCCCACCCAAGGGTGGAAAAATGAGGCTGGACGCGGTGGCTCACACCTGTAATCCCAGCACTTTGGGAGGCCGAGGTGGGCAGATTATGTGAGGTCAGGAGTTTGAGACCAGCCTGGGCAACATAGTGAAACCCCATCTCTGCTAAAAATACAAATATTAGCTGGGCATGGTGGCACGCACCTTAATCCCAGCTACTCAGGAGGCTGAGGCAGGAGAATCGCTTGAAACTAGGAGGCGGAGGTTGCAGTGAGCTGAGATCACATCAGTGCACTCCAGCCTGGGCGACAGAGTGAAACTGTCTAAGAAGAAAGAAAAATGATCTATGACACTATTTCCCACCTTAGAATCCCTCAGAAAATGAGCTAAGGGAGCATCCCTTGGGTGGGAAGTCTGGAAGAGTGTCAGGGTCTGCTTGCCTTCCAAATACCTACCAGAGCTTCAAGGGGTACCTACCTACAGGTGACAGGTGATAGGACATCTCTCTGGGGTCAGGTGGACAGCCCTGTGTCACCATAAATCCACTTCTAATGATTTTCTTCTTGTTTGATTTTGGGGCTCCCCTTCAGAAGCTGGCAATATCTCATTCATCACCAGCTGCCTTAACTGGTCCCTCAGACCCACACTCAGCCCCAACTTTCCAACTCTCATGGCACAAGAGGCTTCTTACTTCTTGTCTTCCTGGAAATAACTAGTGTCCTCCATAGGGCTCTGGACACTGTCCCTCACCCCTAGACACCTCATTTTCTCTCCTTATACACACGTGATCAAGTATTTCCTCCAGAGAATTGTTCCTTGAATATTTACATGGTGACAGGAAGTGTTTTCTTAACAAAAGAAATGGGGCACTAATGGTAAATAAACATCACGAAGAGACACCAGGGAGGAGATTCTGTCAGTCACCTCCCTAACCCCTCCCTCCCGCTCCCAGCACTGTCCTGGAATCACTGTCCCCAGTGTCCAGGAAAGGGGTTGTGAACAACAGCTACAAAGAGCTATGGTCCAGATATCTGGGGCATCTGCTCCCCTGACTTCCCAGTGTTCCTGTGCAGCATGGCTCCCTAGATAGTCCAAGGGAATCAACCAAAAAGCTGTTGGAACTAACAAAAAACACTGAAGAAGGAGGTTGAGGAAAATCAGCATGCCAAAATCAATGGTGTCCCAAGAACATATTATGACAGCAAGACTAGGGATGGGGCGCAAGGCAGCTTTAAGCAAGAATTTCCCATGGTGTTTAGTGACTTCAGTGTAATGTGCTAAGAATCCCAACAGTGAGGGGTGCGCTGCTTGATTGGACAAATCACTTGTACAGTGGGGCAAAGGGGAAATAAAGCATTTATCACTGCCCCTCAGAGGGAAAACATACAGGGAGCAATGAAACCAGACAAAGTGGAGTTAACATGCAAGCAACTATTGTTATTGGGATTTCATTATAAAACCTCTACTATGAGCATAAAAAATAAATCTTGAGAGATGAAATACATAATGTAAACAAAATCAACTAAAATCTGAGGTTACCATCCTTGATTACACCAACAAAACCATGGGGAAGAATATAAAAATAGGCTTATGTTTCTCATCTTCAGTAGATCATGTTTCATTCCTGATAAAGATAATTAGCTTGAATACATTTATGAAAGTAAGTTTTAAAATACCGTATGCTGGCTGGGCGCGGTGGCTCACGCCTGTAATCCCAGCACTTTGGGAGGCCGAGGCGGACGGATCATGAGGTCAGGAGATTGAGACCATCCTGACTAACATGGTGAAACCCCGTCTCTACTAAAAATACAAAAAAAATTAGCCGGGCGCGGTGGTGGGCGCCTGTAGGTCCAGCTACTCGGGAGGCTGAGGCAGGAGAATGGCATGAACCCAGGAGGTGGAGCTTGCAGTGAGCCAAGATAGCGCCACTGCAGTCCGGCCTGGGCAAAAGAGTGAGACTCCGTATCAAAAAAAAAAAAAAAAATACCGTATGCTATTTAATATACATTTTCCAAGACAGTCTCTTAAAACAAAATGGCATCAAAAGGCTGTGGTGGGAGATACAGGCAAATATACACCAAGTAAATGCAAAGAAAAAAAGTAGCATTGGTCAGGCTAAAACCCAAGTTCAAATCCTAAAACAAGAAATGTAAATTGAATGAGTGGCCAGCGCAGTGGCTCACACCTATAATCCCAGCACTTTAGGAGGCCAAGGCTGGTGGATTGCTTGAGCCCAGAAGTTCGAGAGCAGTCTAGGCAACATGCTGAGACCCTGTCTCTACAAAAAAAAACACAAAAATTAGCCGTGCATGGTGGCACACGCCTGTAGTCCCAGCTACTCAGGAGGCTGAGGTGCGAGGATCACTTGAACCTGGGAGGCAGAGGTTGCAGTGAGCTGAGATTGCACCACTGCACTGCAGCCTGGATGACAGAGCAAGACCTTGTCTAAAAAAAAAAAAAAAAAGAAAGAGAGAGAAAGAAAGAAAGAGAAAGAAAGAAAGAGAGAGAGAAAGGAGAGAAAATAAGAAAATGGAATGAGTTGTAAGTAAAAGTGAAAAGGTGACAGATTTATCATTGCTTATACATATATTATTGTATATCAGCCTCTACAACAAATCCCAAAGCACACATATATTCTGATTTCTATACTTTTAGTGAGGATTTTTGATGTGTAGTGGGGTGGAGAGGTCACATCGTGCAGCACACAGCCTTTCACTCAAAAAAGCAATCCTTTAGCATCTGTGTCCCCAGTCAAACCCCTCTGTCACAGCACACATTTAAGCACCTTAGCCGCTACTCACCCATGCACACCCCATCTCTGCCCCAGACCTTGTTCTCGATGCTGGGATAGAAACTGTAACAATGCAAGCAACATCCATGGACTCATGGCACTTTTAGGCTAATGGAAGAGATGGACCGTAAACAAGCAAACAGGTACATGGAGCAAGAGGAGAGGGAGTAGAAGAAAGCGGAGAAGAGGAGGAGAAAAGAAAGGAGGAGAGGAAGAAGAAGAAGAAAAGGGAGAAGAGAGGGAGGAGAAAAAGGAGAAGAAGAAAAGGGAGAGGAGGAGAGAAAGGAGAAGAAGAAAGAGGACAGAAAGTAAGAGAAAGAGGAGAGGAGGAGGAGAAGCAAAAGAAGGAGAAGGAGGAGGAAAGGAAGAAGAGGAAGAGAGAGAAGGAGAAGAAAGAGGAGGAAGAGGCAAATTCGCGGAGACAGAAAGCAGATCAGTGGTGGCCAGGTCCTGAGCACAGGAGGGGCTAGGGAGTGACCATTCATGGCTACGGGGTTTGTTTTTGAAGTGAGAAAAATGTTCTGGAACTAGACAGTGGTGATAGTTGGACAATATTTTGAATGTACTAAATGTCACTGAATTACACACTTTAAATGGCTAAAATGGTAAATTTCATGTTATGTGTATTTTACCATAATTTTTAAAAATATACTTGCAGACATGCTAAGTGCTAGGAAGAAAAGTAGGCAGGTTTTGAAAGAGAGAGATTGGGATGGGGCTCATTGCGAGTGGGTGACCAGTGAAGAACTCTGCATTCAACCGAGAGATGAATGATGACCCAGAAGAGCCTCATGAGGATCTGGGGAAAGGGCATTCCATGCAGAAGGATGCACATGGTGGAAATTAGCTTGAAGAGGTGGGCAGGTGCCAGCAAAGGCCTGTGCCTTTCATGAGTGCCATGAAAACCATCGAGGCAGGGGGATACGTGAGCTAACTCGTGTGTCCAAAGGTCTGCAGCTGCTGTGGGAAGGAATTGTAGGGATGAGCTTGAGGTAGGGTGGGCAGGGACTGCACTGAGATCAGGGCCACCATGGGAATGTCTGCAGGCAGGTGCAGGGCTCCATGCAGGGGTCCAGGCAGGGCTGGCATGCAAGGTCAGGACATCCATGCCTGGAAAGAGGACACACGGAAGCCAAGAGGGCCCAAGCCCAGCAGGCAAGGTTGCCGTGGCTACTGGACGGGCCCAGGAAACAGGGAAGCCAAATGCCTAGTGAAAAGGATGGTGTCATACAGTTTCCATGAGGGCAGTGGGAGTGACTCTGTGTCTGGAATTGGTGGGTTCTTGGTCTCACTGACTTCAAGAATAAAGCCACGGACCCTCGCGGTGAGTGTTACAGCTCTTAAAAGCGGTGTATCCGGAGTTTGTTCCTTCTGATGTTCAGATGTGTTCGGAGTTTCTTCCTTCTGGTGGGTTCGTGGTCTCGCTGGCTCAGGAGTGAAGCTGCGGACCTTTGTGGTGACTGTTACAGCTCTTAAGGCGGCGCCTCTGGAGTTGTTCATTCTTCCCCGTGGGCTCGCGGTCTTGCTGGCTTCAGGAGTGAAGCTGCAGACCTTCGCAGTGACTGTTACAGCTCATAAAGGCAGTGTGGACCCACAGTGAGCAATAGCAAGATTTATTGCAAAGAGCAAAAGAACAAAGCTTCCACAGTGTGGAAGGGGACAGGAGTGGGTTGTCACTGCTGGCTTGGGCAGCCTGCTTTTATTCTCTTATCTGGCCCCACCCACATCCTGCTGATTGGTAGAGCCGAGTGGTCTGTTTTGACAGGGCGCTGATTGGTGTGTTTACAATCCCTGAGCTAGACAAAAAGGTTCTCCACATCCCCACCAGATCAGCTAGATACAGAGTGTCTACACAAAGGTTCTCCAAGTCCCCACCAGAGTAGCTAGATACAGAGTGTCCATTGGTGCATTCACAAACCCTGAGCTAGACACAGGGTGCTGATTGGTGTGTTTACAAACCTTGAGCTAGATACAGAGTGCCGATTGGTGTATTTACAATCCCTTAGCTAGACATAAAGGTTCTCCATGACCCCACCAGACTCAGGAGCCCAGCTGGCTTCACCCAGTGGATCCCGCACTGGGGCTGCAGGTGGAGCTGCCTGCCAGTCCCGCGCGGTGCGCCCGCACTCCTCAGCCCTTGAGTGGTAGATGAGACTGGGCGCCGTGGAGCAGGGGGTGGCGCTCATCGGGGAAGCTTGGGCGGCACAGGAGCCCACGGAGGCAGGGGGTAGGCTTAGGCATGGAGGGCTGCAGGTCCCGAGCCCTGCGCCGCGGGAAGGCAGCTAAGGCCCGGTGAGAAATTGAGCACAGCAGCTGCTGGCCCAGGTGCTAAGCCCCTCACTGCCCCGGGCCGGTGGGGCCGGCCAGGTGGCCGGCCGCTCCGAGTGCGGGGTCCGCCCAGCCCACGCCCCCCGGAACTCGCGCTGGCCCCGGTTCCCGCTGGCGCCTCTCCCTCCACACCTCCCTGCAAGCTGAGGGAGCCGGCTCCGGCCTTGGCCAGCCCAGAAAGGGGCTCCCACAGTGCAACGGCGGGCTGAAGGGCTCCTCAAGTGCCGCCAAAGTGGGAGGGAGCCCAGGCAGAGGAGGCACCGAGAGCGAGAGAGGGCTGTGAGGACAGCCAGCACGCTGTCACCTCTCAACTTGATGCTGAGAAATAAAGAAGATGCTAAAGAGGGTGAGTCCCTTAGGCCCCAGGCCAGGGCTGCATCTGGGAGCACATCCTGAGCCCAGCTGTGGAGAATGGAGGCAGTAGAGGCTGGAACCCCACTGGGCTCAGAGCACTCTGCTGGCTGGAATGAGGGCAGGACAGTGAGCAGGCATAGGAAGGCTGGCTGCCTGGTAGGAAACCTAAAGGAAAGAAGCAGCTTCCTGAGTGTGCAGGCTTGATTCACAAACAGGAGAGTGGGAAGAGCGGGAGGGAAAGACGTCTGGCTCCCAGGCAAAAGCATCCAGAAGGATGAGAGGCGGTCACAGAGGAACCAATTTAACAGTAGCAGAAACTGTCAATCAAGATAAAACTGACAGGGCCAGGCACAGTGGCTCGTGCCTGTAATCCCAGCATTTTGGGAGGCCGAGGAGGGCGGATTACCTGAGGTCAAGAGTTCAAGACCAGCCTGGCCAACATGATGAAACCATGTCTCTATTAAATACAAAAATTAGCTGGTTGTGGTGGTGGGCGCCTGTAATCCCAGCTACTTGGGAGGCTGAGACAGGAGAATCGCTTGAACCCGGGAGGCAGAAGTAGCAGTGAGCCGAGATCACACCACTGCACTTCAGCCTGAGCAATAGAGTGAGATTCTGTCTGAAAAAAAAAAAAAAAAAGATAGAACTGACAGGTCCAAACAGGGAAGCTTCCTGGGTCAGTAGTGTGGACATGTGTCCTCAGTCCTGTGTCCCCTGGTCACACCCAGCTCTGGCCCTGAGAACCTGGGATGACTGAGTAAGCAGAGAGGAGTCCACAGGGTTGTGAAGTTCATAATTCCTAACACAGGATGTGCATTCCTGTGGTGGCCAAGGAGAATGAGGAGAGAACGAGCTTGCACAGGTCGTGGCCATGCTAGAGGGGTTTGACTGAAGTCTTGCTGGGACATAATGTGATAACATGCCTTCTCTGAGTCTCAATATACTCAATATACTGGACAACGAACTTTGTCAGAAACGTGATAGCACAATAAGCATGATGTTAGATTTAAAAAACCTACCAAGCTGAGGGGTCCACACCATCCACCACAGCATAGAACATCAGAGGGTTCTTGCCAAAGCGTAAAGTGAAAACAGAAAAGAAATGCCATGTGCTCAGAGGAGTGATGTGTCCAGCCGTGCCCTCATCTCCTCTCCTTCCTACCTTTCACAGTCCGCCTCTAAGCTTTCACCCAAGCTTACTTCTGTGGGTTCCAAATGTGGATCTCAGAATCAAGAAAACCTCCTAGGTTCTGTAAACGAGAATGATTCACATCACCAGTGTTTACTCGCACCCTCACCAGGCACAACTCCGGGGCTGTGAGGTTCTCAGGCACAAGGCACACCTTGTCCTGCCTGCCTGTCTGTAGGGACATGGGGAGTGTTACTTGAGCCCAAGGGATGGCAAAGCCAGGCTTGCCAGGAGCGAGGAATGTTCCCAGAAAAGAGGGGAGAGGGAAGGCTTTAGAGCACTGGGGACGATGGCCCGGAGGAGGCCCAGTGTCACTCTAGGCTGACCAGGACTAACCCACGTCATGCTCAGGGATCCCAAGGGGCCAGCAAACAGCTCAGCAGGGCTACAGCAGGTGCTTCCTTCAGAAAAAAAATGTGTAGGGAGGGGACCAGGAAAGAGGATGCCTGTCAATGAGACAAGAATAGCACTGGGTGGTCACAGGAGCATGGAAAAACCCAAACAACAGCTAAAACAAGAACAAGACAAAGAAACAACAAGATAACAGAAAACCCAAAGGAAGAGAGTAAAAACAGCTGAAATCCCACTCAGGGTGACTTGTCCATGGCTCTTCTGGGCAAACCCAAAGAAGGGAGAAAGGAGACAGTAACCCAGGGGGTTCCCTGAAATCTCCTCCTCTTCCAGAACACCTAATAATTGTTCCATCCCCTAATTAAAGAAACACCCATAAAATTAGAAACCCAGACTCTGCTGGGTGTGACACGTTCTCATGAGCACGCCCGCACTTCTCTCTCAAGTGTGTACTTTCGCTTCTCACTAACAGTTTCTTGCCTTTCCTATCATTCTGACTCATTCCCGAGTTCTTTCTCAAGACAGTTTCAAGAGCCTGGACATCAACTGGGGCTGGGGTCTCACCAGCATCTGGAGAGCCTCCTGAGTCCTCTGGCAACATCAAGGGAAGGAAGAGAAGATTCCTCCGTGGAGCCCGTCCCCGCACAATTCCCGCCCTGGGACACGGCACGGCTGCTTTGAACCAAGCCTCACCCTTGGCACTCGAGTTGGCTGTGTTCCCTATGATCCATCTACCCACCGTCTCCAGGACAAGCACTGCCCCATTCACTGAAATCAGCACATAGTAATGCTGGATAAGTGAATGAATTGGTGAATGAGTGAACAAGTGAATGTGTGCACAGCTCACTTGTTTAATTGGAGTTCCGAGTTTGGAAGTGAATGAACAGAAAAAAAATCAGTCACCAGACCCCAGATCCAAGTCATGAGATGTAGCAGCTGGATGACCTTGGATGTAGCGCATCACTTCTCTGAGCCTCACCTTCCTTATCTGCAATGAAATCAGGGAGCTTGCCCTGCCACCCCGCAGGGACACGGGAGCAGCAAGGGCTGGGTAGGCACCCAGTCAACGTAAAGCTCACAAGTTGTTGCCACCCTTCATCACGACCCCAGGACATGAAGCAGATACTGTATATCCTGGACCCTCCGGCCGAAAGCTCTTCCGGCTCCTGGGCAGGGCCAGCCCCCAGGCTCCCCAGTGGCATGCCCAGACAGTTCCAAAAGGCAGGACCGAAGCAAAGAGCCAGGATCCAAGCGGGATCCTGACCTGGGATACACACATTCCTCGGCGTGCTTTCCTGCTTTTCCATTCTTTATAAATCAGAAAATTAATTACCAGAAAAAGGATCTTCTGCACCAGAAACTCAAATGAGTTTAATGTATAATTTATACATGAAAATGTAGATGTCTATGTGTGACAAATCTCTGTATAAATATTTTTGCAGTTAAATTTTTAGGCATCTGTCTCCCTCCAAGAAGAGTCATCATGCAGGCATCATGAGTCCCCAGGGCTCAGGCCGGGTGGTGCTGGCAAGGTGGCTTGTCATTTCACCAGTTAGTGATGCAGCTGCCAGCGCAGCCCAGCCCGGAAGGCCCCAGCTTTGGCAGCAGCCACCTGCAGCCAAGTCACAGCTCTGCCCCAACCTCCCCGGCAGGGTCCTGCTGTGTCTTGTTCAAAACAAGGATTTAACACCATGTGCCACCTCTGTGCTGGGCCCAGGGGAGGAAGATAGAGTGGAGGAAGCCCTCACACACCAGTGCCTTTGAGCCCATCGGAGAGCCAGGCAAGCAGATGAGGAATGACAATGACAGGGTGGCAAATGCCAGGGCAGGCGTGGGTCCTACATGCCAGGCAGCCACAGAGGAGCAAGTACTGCCCTATGCAAGAGCATCCCTGAACACTCCAGGGCAGGGGGGCCACTCCTGATGGAGTCTGTCAGGTGGATGAAGGCAGAAGGACATTCCCAACGGTGAGAGCCACTCATGTGAAGACCAGAGACAAGAGCAAGCATGTCCAGATGATGTGGGTGTGGCCTGTGGCACCTGGTGGGGACTGGCCAGCAGTGAGCCTGGCATGGAGAAGAGCCAGATCACCAAGGGAGCTGTGTGCTCAGCCCTGAAACAGGACTTTGTTCTGGATTGAAAACTTCAAAGGGTGAAGGCACATAAGCCTTGCAAACTGTAAAGTGCATGCAGCATCCACAGAAACTACAATCCCTGGCAGGATTGAGTCCTGTGCCAAGCCAAGCCTCAGCAGCCTGCCAGTTTCTGGCCCAGGGGTCCTGGATGATTTCCTTCACCCACAGGTGTACCAGTCCATAGGATTGACTGGCACATGACTTTGCATACAAAACACCTGAAATGTAGGCTAGGCCCTTGCTTCTCATCTGCAGTTGCTACGACCATTTGGGGATGGTCATTCATTGTGTGGGACGTTCCCTGATGCCCTCTCTCCGGATGCCCAGTGGGGCTCCAGAGACAACCCACAGCATCCTCCTGCCGGAGGATCTGGAGGGAGAGGCACAGTCCACAGAAGGGGCCCTAGCCAAGAACTGGTGTGCCACGCATGCCAAGGAGAAAGGAACTGCATATCTACACCACACTCTGGCCCAGAACCAATGGCAAGGGTCACAAATATGCCGTCGTTCACCCTACCATTGCCAACCACGTCGGAGCACAATCTGAAGTCTCAATGGTGTCTTCCCAGAACTCGGGCCTTCCACAACAAGACAAAGCAAGTCCCAACTCCCCGACTCCAATAAGGGCCGCTGGACAGCCTCTGCAGCAGCCTCGAAGCCCTAAGGTCCTGGCCAAAAGGCAAAAGCACAGGCTCATGGGACCTGATGCCCACAAGACAAGGGTTTCAAGCCCCCAGCCCTCATCACCCCAGTGCCCATCTTGAAGAAGGGCACAGCCTGGCCCTGCTAATTTTTCTACCTCCTGGGGGACTGGTGGCCTACCTCTCTGTGACTCCCAGCCACGTACCTCGCTTGGTCTTTGGAGGCCTGAGACCCTCGTCCTGGGCCAGGGCCTCCCAAGTCTCCCGCTCCTTCCAGCGCCTCAGCTGCTCCTCCCGCATTTTGTAGAAGAGGATGTGCTTCTGCACATCGCTGAGCTCGGCAAGGAGCTCGGGGTCGATGTACATGTCGTGCAGGATCTGCTGCAGCATGATGCCACCTGGGATGCACGCACCAGAAGGGCAGCCAGCAGGGGAAGCAGGGCCAGGCAGAACGCCCGAGGGGCTGCTCTGCACTACGGACTGCTCAATCCGGGGCCACTCTCGGTGCCCCTTCTCTGTGCAGCATTGTCAGTTGGCCTCAGCTTGCAGCCAGCGACGAACTCATCTCCTCTACCCAGGACAGCAAAAGAGGCCAGGCAACAGGACCCAAAGGGGCAGGTGGGACTCTGCAAGGGGGAGCAACCACCAGGAGCAATCTAGTCCTTCTCCTGGGTCACCAAGCACGGCATCCCAGGAGAGCCCATGTCTTGGCATCACCTGGGGTTCTGAGACAATGGGAAGGGCCCAAGCCTCCAGCTCAGCCAGGAAATGCCCAGTCCCAGCCCTGCCTGGGCTGGTAGGTGTCGAGTGATCTGTTAGTGGAAGGTAACAATGACACCAGCTATATCAATGACACTGCCCCGGCCAGCTGGGAACTGATCTCTCCTCTGCAGATAAGAGGAGGAGAAGGAGGCAGACTTGCCTACTAAATTCCATGTCTTTTCAGCCAATTTCAAACACAGACCAGAGGAGCCTGCCAGAAGCTGCTGGGCCCCTCAGCCCTCTCAGCCCCTCTCTCTGCGGGTTCCTTCGCTGCCAACTTTCTTCCTTTCCAGAACATTTGGCATTCTGAGATGATGCGTTTAAAACTCTGCCTTGGGGGAGGAAAGATTTTTCCTCCTATCTGTGTTACAGCCAAGAAAGAAAACAAAATGGAATCAGTAGAGACAACTGGAGGGGATTTTATCTTGGAATTCCAGGACAGAAAGGAAGCAGACATCCTTTCCCTTTGGCCTATATATAATGAGATCCTGCAGCCATGCGTGGCTGACAGATAAACCCTCCAGGGGCCAGTTTTAATGGTCGTTGTTAATCTTGTTTGTTGCAGATGCCTGGAGTTGACCAAAAAGAAAGAAGATGAAACTGGCTCTTCTCTGTGCCCTGATCAGAAGCACACTGGAATGGCGGGATGTTGCCTTCTGCTGGGAGGGAAGCCACCCTCTCTTTGGTGTGTGAAGGTGGGTAGAAGCTGCCGTTGCTGAGATCTTTAGGGTGAAAGCTCACCCTAAATATGTGCTCAGAGCAAATCACAGATGCCTTCTTATTGGGACAAGGATATTGAAGCTCAGAGAAAGTAAGTGGCTTGCCTATGGCTTCCTAATGGACAAGTCACTGTATTGGGACTCCCCCGTTTTGAAATTTGACATCCACTAGCAACTATGAATCTGTTGATGGTTTGAAAACATAACCCAACCAAGGGAAAACAAACGAACCAACAGGATTTGGCACTGTGGCTTGGTTGGATTGGTGACCTTCCTGTCCCCTTCCTTGCCCATGAGGGTGGAAGGTGGATCAGGTACCCAAGAGTGATGGAAGAGGGGTGGAGAGTTGGCATTCTTCCCCCTCTGCAAGGTTAACACAACAGGAAGATGGACTAAGCAGATTCAGATGAGCTGTAAGCCCATAGGGTCAAAGCTCCTGCTCAGCTAGGCAATGTCCAGGTCACAGGAGTGGAGTCAGACGCCCCACCCCTCCCCACCCAGGTCCAGCTAGCTGGTCCCAGTGTGCCCAGACCTTCCTAGAGCCGCCACAGGACTCGCCTGTCCGCTGCAGAGCTGTGGCCCTGGACTCCCATCCACCCACCTCAGGGCTTGCACCGACTCCCCCACCGGGAGTCCTGGCTCCCCTCAGTTTCTGAGACCGGGGGTCTTCCCTAGCCTCTGCCCAGCTATTCTCTTTCTCCCCCTCGCCGTGGCTGGTGGGAGACCCCCGAGTCCAAAGAGGAGACAAGGGGAGGAAGGCCCCCAGGGTCTGGGCTCCTGCGGGCAGCTTCTTTTTGTCTTTCCCGGGCCGCCAGATACCTACGACCACAAGAGGGCACGGGGCAGGGACAACGCTGTAGGGAGCAGCAGGAATGGGCCGGCTGGAGGCGGGCGAGAACGGTGATGGTGCCACCCTGGAGGACCGTCGGGAGAGTGAGGCAGCCGGACTAGAATGACCCCCGCTAGCGCCCATTTTGTGCGATAGAGGGGATCTCGCTGGGGGCGGGGTGATCCCTGGCACTCCCAGGTCAGCGGGGCAGGAGGCCAAGAGACACCGAATCGCGGGGACGTGAGCGTCACCCAGCCGCGGATGGCAGCCCGGGAGCGGGTGAAGTCCGGTTTCCGGGAAGACGTGCTTCGGGGCCCGCCTATCAATTCTCCTGGGCCTGGCGGGGTGGAGGGCGGGGGACTCGGCCAGGCCTGGGGCGCTCCCTGGCGGCCGCACGGGGAGGCACTCGGCTTCGCAACCTGGGTGTGCCTGGCCTGGGTGTGCGGGAGGACCCCAGAGGACCCCAGAGGACCCCAGGAGCAGGGGTCGCGCCGAAGAGCAGAGTCCGCGGCTGGAAACCAGGCAGGGGAGCCACGGAGTAGTCACACAGGTTTTCTGCCGCCTTTCAACTGGTCTTATTTTGCTTTCATTTTTCACCAGCCCATGTGGGGTGTTTAATGTTGCACGCGAACGCAGTTTCTTCCGGGCCCGGAAGGCCCACGCACGCAACAATGTTGTGCAAGTGACTGGAAACCACCTGAGTGTCCCTCCATGGGGGTGGGTTGCCCAGCATGGACCTCTACTCCTGTCACAATGAAGTCGACTGTTTCGTCGAGGGAAGTGGCCACCGTTGATAAAATGAAAAGACGCCATGCAGAATACTGTGCACAGGGTAATCCATTTTTTTTCTTTTTTATTGATCATTCTTGGGTGTTTCTCGCAGAGGGGGATTTGGCAGGGTCACAGGACAATAGTGGAGGGAAGGTCAGCAGATAAGTGAACAAAGGTCTCTGGTTTTCCTAGGCAGAGGACCCTGCAGCCTTCCGCAGTGTTTGTGTCCCTGGGTACTTGAGATTAGGGAGTGGTGATGACTCTTAATGAGCATGCTGCCTTCAAGCATCTGTTTAACAAAGCACATCTTGCACCACCCTTAATCCATTCAACCCTGAGTGGACATAGCACATGTTTCAGAGAGCACAGGGTTGGGGGTAAGGTCACAGATCAACAGGATCCCAAGGCAGAAGAATTTTTCTTAGTACAGAACAAAATGAAAAGTCTCCCATGTCTACCTCTTTCTACACAGACATGGCAACCATCCGATTTCTCAATCTTTTCCCCACCTTTCCCCCCTTTCTATTCCACAAAACCGCCATTGTCATCATGGCCCGTTCTCAATGAGCTGTTGAGTACACCTCCCAGACGGGGTGGTGGCCGGGCAGAGGGGCTCCTCACTTCCCAGTAGGGGCGGCCGGGCAGAGGCGCCCCTCACCTCCCGGACGGGGCGGCTGGCCGGGCAGGGGGCTGACCCCCCCGCCTCCCTCCCGGACAGGGCGGCTGGCTGGGCGGGGGGCTGACCTCCCCGCCTCCCTCCCGGATGGGGCGGCTGGCCGGGTGGGGGGCTGACCCCCCCACCTCCCTCCCGGATGGGGCGGCTGGCCGGGTGGGGGGCTGACCCCCCCACCTCCCTCCTGGACGGGGCGGCTGGCCGGGCAGAGGGGCTCCTCACGTCCCAGTAGGGGCGGCCAGGCAGAGGCGCCCCTCACCTCCCGGACGGGGCAGCTGGCCAGGCGGGGGGCTGACCCCCCCGCCTCCCTCCTGGACGGGGCGGCTGGCCGGGCGGGGGGCTGACCTCCCCGCCTCCCTCCCGGACGGGGCGGCTGGCCGGGCAGAGGGGCTCCTCTCTTCCCAGTAGGGGCGGCCGGGCAGAGGCGCCCCTCACCTCCCGGATGTGGCGGCTGGCCGGGCCCGGGGCTGACCCCCCCACATCCTTCCTGGACGGGGCGGCTGGCCGGGCAGAGGGGCTCCTCACTTCCCAGTAGGGGCGGCCGGGCAGAGGCGCCCCTCACCTCCCGGACGGGGTGGCTGGCCGGGCGGGGGGCTGACCCCCCCACCTCCCTCCCGGACGGGCAGCTGGCCGGGCAGAGGGATGACCCCCCCCACCTCCCTCCTGGATGGGGCGGCTGGCCGGGCGGGGGGCTAACCCCCCCACCTCCCTTCTGGACAGGGCGGCTGGCCGGGCGGGGGGCTGACCCCCACCTCCCTCCCAGACGGGGTGGCTGCCAGGCGGAGACGCTCCTCACTTCCCAGACGGAGTGGCTGCCGGGCGGAGGGGCTCCTCACTTCTCAGAGGGTGTGGCTGCTGGGCGGAGGGGCTCCTCACTTCTCAGACGGGGCGGTTGCCAGGCAGAGGGTCTCCTCACTTCTCAGACGGGGCAGCCGGGCAGAGACGCTCCTCACATCCCAGACGGGGCGGCAGGGCAGAGGCGCTCCCCACATCGCAGAAGATGGGCGGCCTGGCAGAGACGCTCCTCACTTCCTAGATGGGATGGCGGCCGGGCAGAGACGCTCCTCACTTTCCAGACTGGGCAGCCAGGCAGAGAGGCTCCTCACATCCCAGACGATGGGCGGCCAGGCAGAGACGCTCCTCACTTCCCAGACGGGGTGGCGGCCGGGCAGAGGCTGCAATCTCGGCACTTTGCGGGGCCAAGGCAGGCAGCTGGGAAGTGGAGGTTGTAGCGAGCCGAGATCACGCCACTGCACTCCAGCCTGGGCACCATTGAGCACTGAGTGAACACGACTCCGTCTGCCATCCCGGCACCTCGGGAGGCTGAGGCTGGCGGATCACTCGCGGTTAGGAGCTGGAGACCAGCCCGGCCAACACAGCGAAACCCCGTCTCCACCAAAAAAATACGAAAACCAGTCAGGCGTGGCGGCGCGCGCCTGCAATCGCAGGCACTCGGCAGGCTGAGGCAGGAGAATCAGGCAGGGAGGTTGCAGTGAGCCGAGATGGCAGCAGTACAGTCCAGCTTTGGCTCGGCATCAGGGGGAGACCGTGGAAAGAGAGGGAGAGGGAGACCGTGGGGAGAGGGAGAGGGAGAGGGAGAGGAGGGAGAGGGAGAGGAGGGAGAGGGAGAGGAGGGAGAGGGAGAGGAGGGAGAGGGAGAGGAGGGAGAGGGAGAGGAGGGAGAGGGAGAGGAGGAGCCTTTCCCAGGGTAATCCATTTTTAAAATTCTGTATGTCCGATTACTTTTGTGGAGACAAAGGGAAAAGTACAGAAGATCACACGCCTAATTGTTTAGCATTGCTTCTTAGCTTTTTCTTGGAATGCGGAGAAAAATGACACTTTAGACAATTCTGTGTTGTTTTATACAATGAGTAGGATATACTTACATAATTCATATGACTCAACTATAATGCATTTCAAAGGTTTTCAAATGTGATATAAAAGAACAGACTTCTGGAGCCTCAGCATCTATGGAGCAGGGACCCCCCCAGAGAGGGACCTGCAGGCAAACCAGACCTTCCTATGCCAGGAAGGCTAGGAAGTGGCAATGGAGAAACCATCCATGTTCCCTGGGGTTCCTAAGCTGGAAGCGGGCTTTGAGGCATCTCTTAGAAGCAGCTCTGGCACTGGTGTGGAGAGGGCACTGGGAGAGCAGGAGGCAGGGGAAACAGCCAGTGGACTCTGGCCAAAGTCCAGGAGAAGGTGACAGGAACTGAGCCAGCCTTGCCAGTGGGAGCCAAGCAGGGCAGAAATGGGGGTCCCGGAGAGTCCTATCAGGCACTCTGCTTCTACATAAAATCCTTTCAAATCTGAAGTCCATATGACCAATGATGGCCAGACAGCCCTGTCATCTCAGCGCGGCTGAGCCTGGCACAGCCACCATGTAAGGATCAGCAACAGCAGGTGAGAGTCTGGAGTAGTTTCTGCCTTGTCTCCACTGAAAAATTATGGGTGTCAAAATCAATAGCATCTCCTATATGAATGCAACAACTACTTAGAAAATGCCATGTGAAAAAAAAGATCCTTTCATAATAGGAACAGCATGTATGAAATACTTGGAATGAATTTAACAGTGTGGAAACCTGTAATGTAAAAGTAAAAATCTTCACTGAGAGCATACCTACAATTTAATTAAGTTTAATAGCATTAAGTTCATATAGGAACACACCACACTGACACTCAGAAAGATGCCATATTGTCAGATGTGCCATTTATCTGTGTATTAGCCAGTCTCCAAGATGGTTCCAATGATGCTTTCCTCCTGGAACTCACACCCTTGCATAGTCACTCTCGCATCTATTAGGGTTGGTCTGAGTGACCAATCAAATATGACAGACGTGACATATTCTAACAGATTACTGGTTGCACACTCTCTCTGATAACTCACTCTGGGGGAAATTATATTGTGAGAACCAGGTGGAGAACTGAAGCCTCCCACCAACAGTCATGGAGTGAGGTTGGAAGGGATCCTCCAGCCCTGGCCAACAGTTTCACTGCAGCCTCATGAGAGACCCAGAGCCACAGTCACCCAGCTAAGCTGCTTCTAGATTCCTGACCCTCAGAAGGGTATGAGATATATATGTGCTGCTTTAAGGTGTTAAACTTGGGGATAATGTATTATGCAGCAAAATGTAACTCAATATGTATTATGAGTAACACGTAATACTCAAAATGTAACTCAAGCATTATGCAGCAAAATGTAACTCAAGTTAATGTATACATTGAATATCATTTCGAGCCAAAGGTGAAAGGAAATTGGGAAGTAGAGAGACTTGATAAAATAATTCCCAAGTTAACCAAAAGAATGAACAGATAAGAAACAGCCTTGAAAATATTGAGGAATAGTGAACTCTATATTGTGCCACTATTCAAATTTATAAAATCAAACATTTCAGTTCTGATACAAGAACAGGTAGGTTGAACCAAAAAAGAGCTCTACTAAATCATTATTATATGATCAAAATGGCAGCTCAAAGTAGTGCAACAAGGATGAAAGCTCAGTCAATGAAGCTGGGACAATTTGCTAGATCCTTACCTGTGATCCTGCCAGCACAGCCTTCAGTAGTCATGTCCTCTGGGGGTTCTGTGCATATATAAGAATAATTACTGCAACATCCATCATAACACTGAAAATTTCAGAATAACTGATGTGTTCAATAAAAGTGGTTTAGATTATAAATGAGAGCACATCCGTAGGATAAAATGTAATACAGCCACTGAAATTGATGTTGAGAAATGTATTGGCATAGATGGTGCTAGTGATGTGTTCGTTGGTAAGAGGGAAGACAGGTTTAAAATATTATGTGTAGCAATGTCCCAGTTTTACATCTCTGCATCAGGAAAAAGAATCGTTCCACCCCCACTGCTTTCTAAGGAGTGTAAATAACTTCTGTTAAAAGGAGGATCTCCTGATCTGGGCAGGATCCTTGCTAGGTTTGGAGATGAAGCTGTAGGGGGTGAGCTCAGCTCCTCCACATAACACAGGCCAGGAAATTGGGGTTTCTGAGCTGCAGAGACAACAGGGGAAGAAGAGGGGGAGGTGGCCATACAACCCAAGGTTGTGGCCCACCTTGCCCCAAATCTCATCAAAACTCATGCTGTGAGATTTTTTATTATTTTTTTAAATGAATTTAAACTTTATTGTTTTTTTAAAGAATTTTCTCTAATTCTGCCAGAATAGAGGCAGGGCTCAACAGAGGTCCCTAAAGGACACAGGAGTTGGGGACACATGGGCTGCCAGGAGCATGAGTCCCCAGAAACTGGCAAAAATCATGGGGAGGGCTTGGGATTTTCCTCATGATGGGAGCAGTGGCATGTATCTCTAACAAACAAGGACACCCATGCTGACATTGTAAACAACTGTACACACACACACATTTATGATTACAACAGCAGAGCCCAGGCTTGCAGCCAACCGGACCTGTGTCACCCAACTTGCCAGCCCAGAGACCTCCCAGGGAAGTCCTTCTCCCTCCCACGACTCCCTTTCCTCCTCTGTGCCAGGGTAACCACTGGGGGTAACCAGCAGGGTGTGCCACAGGGCTTTGGTCCACATTAGATAGACAAGGTATGCATGAGCCAGCCAGGCACACAGCAGATGACAGTGTGAGTTCTGCTTCTTAATCTGGGGCCTGGTTCCTCACTAACTTAGTCAAAGTAATACTGGCTGAGGGAGTGGGCTGTGGTGGCTGATTCTGTCTGCCTAGTGAGCATCTCCATACTCCAGGTTTAAAAGAAAAAATCTTGGCCAGGCGTGGTGGCTCATGCCTGTAATCCCAGCACTTTGGGAGGCTGAGGCCGGCGGGAGGTCAGGAGTTTGAAACCAGCCTGGCCAACATAGTGAAACTCCGTCTCTACTAAAAATACAAAAATTAGCTGGATGTGGTGGCGCACACCTGTAGTCCCAGCTACTCGGGAGGTTGAGGCAGGAGAATCGCTTGCACCCAAAATCGGGCCACTGCACTCCAGCCTGGGGGACAGAGCGAGAATCCGTTTCAAAAAATAGAGAAAAGAAAAAGTCTTGAGTGCTGGACAAGCCTGTGACTCAGGACTCGGAATGATAAACAAGAGAGAAATACACTGAGTTTCTATGATAGTCACTAACTCGGGGCTGCCGGCACTCGTGTTCCCCTGCAGAGGAAAGGTCTGCGTGCCCTAAGAGAGAGCTGCTGGCGTGCAGAGAGAAGCAGAGATGCCGACGACGGGGAGGAAACACACTGGCGGTGGTGAGGCTCCTTCCAGCAGCCACAGCCCTGGTTCCTCTCAGTCTGTGACCCTCCCACATCCTTCCCATCTATGAGAGCCTGTAAACTCCTTTTGCTTAACCTTGTTTTAGTTAAGGTTTTAAACAGTTGCCACCAGTGTGCCCTAACCACCCCAGTGGCTTGAGTGTTTCTCCGCTTCTTTTGCCTAGGATCTGCGGAGATGGACAGGACAGGAGACTAAGGAGGTGAGAACCCTGGCCCACACCATCACTAAGGGCCCTTCCTGAGGTCTGCTTCCCACATGAAGTCCTCCCAGGGCCCTGAATCCAGCCATCCACCTCCTTGTTGGACATAGGCTCCATTAGAGAGATGCGGGGCTCCAGCCCCCCTTGCTCTGCCTCCCTGTGAGAAGTTGCTGACAGTGAAGGAAAGGTCAGTGAGTCCTGCTAATTAAAAAACACTTTGCCCCATCCGATTTCCCCTGACACAAGGTCACTCAGCACTAGCGCAATTAAGTCTCAGCCCAGGACTGACTCTTTTTAACTCAAAGGGCGGGAGGGAACTCCAGGACCCCAGATGGCAAACTGGCTCACACCGTGGACAACCTCCCACAAGGCCCTCCCAGGTCCCCTGGTACCCACTAGAGACCACACAGCCTGCCAGCTCTGCCTGCTGCCTGACTCACTGCAGACGAGTCCATCCACACCACAGGCCCTGCCCACTGGGCTTGAGACTACTCGGACCCAGAGCAAGGAGAAGCAGGGTCCTTGCCTTGCAAATGACTGAGAACTTGAGTGAGCCAGACTCCCCCAGGCCAGGGGAGCCCTGTGCCCCCAATCTCTGTTCCCTCCCCAGTGGAACAACCAGGGCCGAATTGTAAACCTTTCCTCATTCAATTCTTAGAACAGTATTATGAGGAAGGTAATTTCATTATCTCAAGTTCATATTTGAGGAAAGTGAGGCATAAGTTCACATAGCTGCTAATGATGGATCCAGGACTTAAACCCAGGTCTCATGGAACCCTGAGTAACCCCTCCCCTCCCCACGCCCCAGGCTCTTGTTTTCAGCTGGACAGTCCTTCCAGGGTCACACTACTACAGACCCAAGAGCTACTGCTCAGCCTACCCCTCCCCAGTGACCAAATCTGGAGGGCACTGAAGGAATTCATGTGCCGTCTGTCCCTTAATCTGAACACAGAGCACACACATCTCTGGCCCCATGGAGCCCACATCCCCAACCAGTGTGACAAGGAGCCCACCATCTCCAGGCCGCCCTGTGGAGCAGAAAGAAGGCTGACCAGAGGCTGTGAACCAGGCAAATCCACCCACCACAGACTGGGCCCTAAGTTCCCTATAAAGGGAGATTTAGAAAGCCAGGAAATCCAGTGCCAAGGTTCACTTCCCTAAACCATGGGGCCTGGGGCACAGACCACTGCTGTCTTCCAATATCTGGCCTCTCTTCTTTCTCCTACACACACAGCTAGACCTTTGCATCATTTCAGGTGGCTTGTGAGTTCTGGCCAGCAGAATGTGAGAACAAGCAGAGTACTCTCCATCTTCCCTCCCTGATCCTCACCTCTTCCCCAACCACCAGCTGACTAGAGATGCCTCCAACAGCTACAGGAGGCTGGACCCACAACAGGAAAGGAACCTGGGTCCATGAAAGACTGTGTGGAGCAGAGAATCCCCCACCCTAGTTCCCAGCAACTACCAGAGACTGTGGCATGAGCAAAAAAATAAACATTTTTCTTTCCTTTTTTTTTTTTTTTGAGATGGAGTCTCACTCTGTCACCCAGGCTGGAGTGCAGTGGCGTGATCTCGACTTACTGCAAGCCCCGCCTCCTGGGTTCAAGAAATTCTACTGCCTCAGCCTCCAGAGTAGCTGGGACTACAGGCACCTGCCACCACACCTGGCTAATTTTTTGTATTTTTAGTAGAGACGGGGTTTCACTGTGTTAGCCAGGCTGGTCTCAATCTCCTGACCTCGTGATCCGCCCGCCTCAGCCTCCCAAAGTGTTGGGATTACAGGCGTGAGCCACCGCACCCGGCTAAATAAACATTTTTCAAAGCCTCCCAAGTATAGGTAATGTTTGTTACAGTGGTTAGTCTATTCTGGCTCTATCCTTCTGTAACCACCGAAGGGCTGGTTAAAACATTTTATTGGGCCCCATCCCAGTTTTTGGTCCCATAGGCCTGAAGGAAGGGGCATACAATTTGCATTTTTATTTATTTATTGAAACAGAGTTTCGCTCTTGTTGCCCAGGCTGGAGTGTAATGGCACAATCTCGGCTGACTGCAACCTCTGCCTCCCGGGTTCAAGTGATTCTCCTGCCTCGGTCTCCTGGGTAGCTGGGATTACAGGCGCCCACAACCATGCCCGGGTCATTTTTTGTATTTTTAGTAGAGACAGGGTTTCACCACATTGGCCAGGCTGGTCTCGAACTCCTGACCTCAGGTGACCCACCCGCCTTGGCTTCCCAAAGTACTGGGATTACAGGCACGAGCCACCACACCTGGCCTGAATTTGCATCTTTTAACAAGTGCTGGGGGTAATGCTGCAGCTGCTGCTGGTCTGGGGTGATGTTGTGGCTGCTGGCCTTGTGAACCACTGCCCAAGTGCGTAGCTGCAGTGTGGGAGTTACTATCCCATTTTGCTGAGGAAATGGTACCCAGTTCCTGGCCGTCATGGGCACTGAGCTGCCTTCCTGCTGTGCCTCGTCAGTGCCTGCCTACATCGTTGCTCATTGATCATGGCCTGCGAGTTAGTGTCATCAGAGGAAGGGAGAAGAGTTCCTAGAGTGGAAACCCTGGGCTGTAAGCCCGGTTCTACCACCTCCCAGCTGTCTGGCAGCAGGCAAGTTCCTCAGTCTAAGTCTCTTTCCTCTGGTGTAAAAGGGGAAAAGGGTGTTCGTTTGCTCCCCACCCCCATCAGCCTGGCAGCTTTGTGCCCACAGTAGATTTTCTATGAGGACCTCTCACTGATGCACTTGAGTGGCAGAGACTTGGGACTAAAGGAGGACTTCTGGCCCCAGATGCCCCAGTGCCAGCCTCACCCTTGAGGGCCACAGTGAGCACCCACGTGTCTCACCGCCTCCAAGGCAGCTGAGACCTCTCCTGGTACAGGCTTACAGGGGGGAAGGCGGAATTGTACAGGGAAAAAAAACCTCAGACTACAGTCACAAATTTTACATGCACACCTTTGCCAGTTATGAGAATTGTGTTGCAAAGAGGAAGGAGTGGAGAGTTTACCAGCCAAGGGCTGGAGGACCCCAACACTCCAGTTTCTTAGAACATTCATTGCAGGTACTCTTTTATACTACCAAAGTCCTCCCACCCCATCCCCCACCAACCACAGCTTCCAGGAATCACTGAGATTCACAGAGAAAGGAAGTAAACACAATTAAGAACAAAGTTATGTTGAAAAGATATTTCAATGCACATGTTGCAAACAAGGCGAGTCCCAGGAATCATTCCGAAGAAAAAGACAGAATGACACTGAAATCCATCATGATGGTTATCCCATCATGATGGGAGTAAAGCCTTTAAGGGAGTAAAGCCTTAAAGATCTCCTTGTCAGATGAGACTTTTAGAACAGACCCGACATTCTGTTGACTTAGAAGAGCTGATGTCATCCTCAGAGCCCAGGTGATACACACATTCCTGGATGTGGCCACAGGGTGGATGATAGTACCCTCAGCTGAGATGGGAATAGGGGGCAGAGCAGTTTTGGATGTGGGTGGAATTGGGGGTTGGAGAAAGAGAAGCAAAGTTCAGCGGTTTGGGATGCAGCCACTGAGGTGTCTGCAGGAGTGGATGGAGAGGCAGAACAAGCATTTGAGGACACTCAGGCTCTCTGGGTAGCAGACATGGCCTGAGTGATTTCATTTACTACTGAGAGGACAGTGAGTGCCCCGGGCTGCCTCCCAGAGTGGCTGGCCCTTACCTAGGGCACCTGGTGGATGCTCTAACCCTCAGGATTCACTTTTCACCATGAGATATTGACTCCTTTAAATTTCTGCCTGTGTCCTATTTTAAAAGTGGCTCTGCTGGATGGACAAGTGGTGGAAGGAAATTTGGAATAAGCAACAGAGATTCTGGTTGTCTTCAGTAAAAAACTATGCATTGGGGCCGGGCGTGGTGGCTGACGCCTGTAATCCCAACATTTTGGGAGGCCGAGGCGGGTGGATCACCTGAGGTCAGGAGTATGAGACCAACCTGGCCAACACAGTGAAACCCTGTATCTACTAAAAATACAAAAATTAGCCAGTTGTGGTGGCATGCGCCTGTAATCCCAGCTACTCAGGAGGCTGAGTCAGGAGAATCACTTGAACCCGGGAGGCAGAGGTTGCAATGAGCCAAGATTGCACCACTGCGCTCCAGCCTGTGTGACAAGAGGGAAACTCTGTCTCAAAAAAAAAAAGAAAGAAAATAGAACTATGCATTGCTTAGGGTGCACCCTTCCAATTATCTGATTCTAGTCTTTCACTGCCTTTGAGCTATTTTTACAACTAAGTTGTAGAGTTAATGCAAAATAATTCTTGTCTATGGATGTGCATATTATACGAATAAGATTCAATTGACCTTTCTCCTCAAAAAAAAAAAAAAAAAAAAAAACCCCAGCCAGTTTCAACTTTCCTTTACTCCATACAGATTTATGGTTCATTGTGATTTCTCTTTTGAACTGGCTGTTAATCTTAGCAGCACTCTCAATTACTGAGTTAAATAAAATCTTTGACATGTGTACATGTAATATATATGAGTTATGCCTTTTTTTAAAAAATTATCTTTAACAGAAGGCACGGGAAGGACCACTACCTCTCAGAGATGGAAAGGCTTGCCATGGTCCACGCAGCACAAAGCCCACCCCCAGCCATATCATCCCAGACAGGAAGGGTGTAGCCTGGGCTTGCATACCTCCAAGGACAGGGTGCTCAGTCCCTCCTAGAGGCCACTTCACTTCTTCCCATATTGGCTCACAGCTGTGACTTTAAAACACAGAACGAGTGCATATCTAAAACTAGAAGAAAACACTATGGTCCTTCCTGCTGACAGCTGAGTGCTTGGGCCTAAATCAGCATCTACACACGCGGCCTGCAACCCTGGGTTCCATGCAAAGGCAGTGTGGCTGAATTGGCTGCAGGTGGAGTGAGGAGAGAGGCCAACACAGGCTCACGGTAACACTTCCACTGCCTCAGAACAAAACCCTGGATTTCCTGACCTTCCAGCAGTCCATGTGTATTTTCAAATACCAGGTTTTTCTCAGGGCACCAGGGCAAGCCGAGCAAGGCCCACACACGCTAGTCTCACACATGTCCCCCAGCACTGCCCCCAGGTTCCCAGCCCTGCTGAGCTGTCCTCACAGACACGGACACCCTCCCTCATAGGAGGTGCGGAGGAGCACCCAGTCCCGGTCTGAGGCCTCAGGCAAGTCCCAGCACACCCCAGGGCCTCTGTTCTCCTTATGAGTGGGACCAGATGGGGTCCACCAACCGTCCAAACGTGATATGCTGCTGTCTTCAGGGCACATTATCCCCAGCGTTGATGTTCACAATAATCCCCTTTCTCCCCACAGACCATCCCTCCTGGGCCCCAGGCCTCTGTGGCCTACCCTGGCCCCTTGGCAGTTGATGGCCACTCTGCTGCTTCTGGGGGCTCCCGGGCAACTTTGGTTGTGTTGGTTTCTGGTAGCATCTGCGCTCCAGGCAAGAAGCAACACCCTACCTTGTCTCCCCACCTCTATGGCACAGAAAGAGAACAGACCTTGAACTCCAAATGCCTGCTGAGGCTTGCCACAGACCTCGAAGCCTTGTTCCTAAAGGGACAGGGAAGTGGACCGTTTCGTTTCAGTGATTCAAAGCTTGAGCTATCTGACATGTGACCCAGGCAGCTCTCTCGTAGGGACTGGCAGCCACAGATAAAATTCCCCAATCATTAAAATTATGTTAGCAATAATTCAGGGGATGCATACTAAATAATCTGGATCTTTGTTAGATGCTTACCCATCTCAACTCATTTAATCCTTGAAACAACCTCACAGGGGTAGGAGGTTTTGTCACCTTATACCCACACACACCAGCAGTGGTCAGGCAGCAACAGGTACACCCCAGCCCTGAGTACCTACTTATTAAAATGTGATCCCCCATCCTGGCTAACACGGTGAAACCCCGTCTCTACTAAAAATACAAAAAAAATTAGCCGGGCGTAGTGGCGGGCGCCTGTAGTCCCAGCTACTCGGGAGGCTGAGGCAGGAGAATGGCGTGAACCCGGGAGGCGGAGCTTGCAGTGAGCCGAGATTGCGCCACTGCACTCCCGCCTGGGCCACAGAGCGAGACTCCGTCTCAAAAAAAAAAAAAAAAAAAAATGTGATCCCACCTCCCAGGAGAACTCCTCTAAAAACATGTTTTTTTCTTACAAACTGTAAGAAGCAATTCCAATAACACTGTAGTTTATATATATATATATATGTCCTTGTAAGTGCAAAACCCTGCAAAAAACTGTAACACCCATCCACAGAAGTGCAATGGCAATAGCTGACAGCATCCCCGGCCTTCATCCCCCTCCTGGAGGATGCTGCATTTCACAGCCGCATGGTTTCAGTGGGATAAAGCATGAGGAGGGGTGTGTCCGGGGATCCCTTCCCTTGCTGGCTTCACCACCACACCACCCATCAGGGGGAGGCTCGGGGTTTGTCTGTGGTAGACTCCTTCCCTCCACCATAGATGAAGGGGAGGCTGTGGAAGGCAGAGAAATGGAAACAAGATCCTGTTGACGTCACTGAGCCACTTGGATCAACCCAAACCTGAAACTCACCCCACCTTGGGACTTTCCAGTTTCAAGAGCCAAAACCTCCCCTCATTGTTTAGGCCAGTCTGAATTGGGTTTTCTATTACCTGCAACTGTAAATGGACTCCTCTGGTACAAAGGCAAGGCCCATCTGTTCTTGGCACACTCCTACAACTGATGGCGTGACCGTGAAAACGCACTGTGGATCAGTATATTAAGTAACACTCATAAAATAGTATGTAAAATGATTCCATGGGTGTGATGACCTGAGTAGATGCATGGACATTTTCAGGAAGGATTCCTAATAGTAGTTACCTCTGCGTAACAGAAGACATACTTTCACTTTTCACTTTACATTCTCTTATGTTTAGATTTTTATTTAAGTGTACTTTTTAAAAAGACTAGTTTAAAAGTTGTTTTATACAGTCCAAGGTGATAATTTATTGTAGTAGTTTTTTTTTAATTTTATTTTTTGAGATGGAGTCTCCTGTCACCCAGGCCGGAGCGCAGTGGCTCGATCTTGGCTCGTTGCAACCTCTGTCTCCCGGGTTCAAGCGATTCTCCTGCCTCAGCCTCCCGAGCAGCTGGGACTACAGGTGCACATCACCATGCCCGACTAATTTTTGTATTTTTAGTAGAAACTGGGTATCACCATGTTGTCCAGGCTGGTCTCGAACTCCTGGCCTCAAGTGATCTGCCTGTCTTAGCCTCCCAAAGTTCTGGGATTACAGGCGTGAGCCACTGCACCTGGCCAGTTCTAGTAGTTATTAAACCATGCATTGGAAGACCCTGCTGGAATATAAGATGCAGAGCACAGAAAGAAAACTAAGTGAAGAAAGAATTGTTTCGGAGCCTTGTAAGGAATACTCACGTCCTCCTTCTCCAAGCTGGGCTCCCTGAAGTTGGCAATTTCATCAAAACAGTATCCACTTAAAAGTACCCTTAACTTTTTCTTCCAAAGTTACACAGTAGCCCCAAGTTCTACAATGCCCACTTCATGTTTTCCTGAGGCACCCTGGAGACGCCAAAAGCATTTGAGAATGAACGGGCCTTTTTTTTTTTTTTTTTTTCTTTTTTGAGCCCAGGCTGGAGTGCAGTGGTGTGATCTCGGCTCACTGCAAGCTCCGCCTCCTGGGTTCACACCATTCCCCTGCCTCAGCCTCCGGAGTAGCTGGGACTACAGGCACCCGCCACCAAGCCCGGCTAATTTTTTTGTATTTTTAGTAGAGAAGGGGTTTCACCGTATTAGCCAGGATGGTGAACATGCCTTTAATGCAGCCTTGAACAGGAATTGGCCAAGCCTTGCCAACTTGATAAGGAGCAAAAAAGGCTCTAAAGGTGTATGGCTCCCCAGATTTCTGGAGGGCATCCAAATGAATGAGAACAGGGCTGCAGGTAGTCACCTGCAGCATCCTCCTGGGCACGATGACAGAGGGAAGTGTCTCTACCAAGATCCATCATGGGGGACAGGTTCCCATAGCCCCGGACACACAACCTAAAAACCGTGGTTCTGTGGACCGACACCCGTAAGACCCTAGAGCTGGAAAGGCCCACCTGTGAAGGTCATTCAGCACTCCACCACCCACCCCCTACCAGTACAGCTGAAAGCTCTGGACCAGCGGGTGACAGGCTGATGCATCTGACATTTGGGCGGAGACCTTCCCATGACAGCAGGATGCCTCAGGTGCTGGGACCACTGCTGCCTCCCTCCTTTCTCAGCAGTCGTCTATGTTCCTCTGAGACTGCTGGCTGAGAAGCCATCAGGTGGGTTCCCTGATGAGACTGACACCCTCTCTGCTCTGCTGGGAGCCTTCCAACACTGCAGCCACCTACAGTCACATGCATGCCTGCCACCTCCCCAGTGGCCTCTGCATGGAATCTCCCAGAGAAATTCCACGTTCCAGGAAGGTTGTGCATCCATTAATTTTCATTGTTATTCATGGGGAAACCCAGTGCCAGGCTTCTTGTGGACCATGCAGATGGTTTTTCAGCCCAGCCCACAGCCCTGCCCTGTGGGTAGTGGGATTCCCCGGAGGCTGGTGAGGACAGCTGCAGCAGAGTCCTAAGCAGACATATGGGAGAGGTCAGAGAACTGGCGAGCCTGGGCCTCTGAAGCAGAGAAGCAGAGGACATTCAGGAGGTGCAGTGTCTGGTGCTACAGAGGCTGAAGAAGGCCAGAGTTGACAATTGGGATAAGCAGCTTTCAGCTACGTGGGGCATGGTGGGTGGTGCAAAGGAAGGGGTACAGACAGCCCAGATAAGAAGCTGCCTGGGAAAGAAAGGGAGGGAGCCATAGGGCCTCGGCAAGTTTTTAGGATGGGAAAGGAAGGCCAGCGATAGGAAGACGGGACAGGAAAAATAACGTTGACAAGATCCTGAGAGGGGGTGGACCAGGGTTGAGGAGGGGGTACAGGAAAGACCCCAAGGCTTTAAAGTTAGCATGTGCATGGTGAGGTGAGAAGAGGGTGCAAATGCCACAGCTGGCCTCCAACCAGGGAAGGCGGGGATTCAGGACAGGCCAGTGCTAGGTGGGGAGTGCACAGGAGGCCTGCCCTGTGCCTCTGTGCGGACAGCCGATGCTGGGCGGAGACTGCCACGTGACCGGCTCTCATCCTTGCTTTCTTTCCATTCCTCATCCAACTATTCAGAGTCACATGATATGGCTGAGAACAGCCAGAAGGGTCTATAGTTGAAAGATAAACCCAACTCTGCAAAAATCGCACCGAGACTTCATCCTAAACCAGGTCTACAGGAATAGATGGGTCAGGCCTGCAGGAGCCTTCCAGGAGCTCTGGCAGGGAGGGTCTGTGGCCACCCACTCCCCCAGGGGAGGCTGGGTCAGAGGCATCTAGTGAGGTGGGCACTGCCACCAACCCCCTTCACAGAAAGGCCGGCACACCCAGGACACACAGCTCATGCAGCAGCAGTGCCCAGGCTTCAATCCCATGTCCCCACTTCGACTCAGTGTCCCCAAGCTCTTCTGCTTGGATCAATAAATAGTATCGCACAGGGGTGGACAGAAATAACCTAAAACAATGTTTCCTCTAGACCTATGGAGTTGAAGTTTCTCCAGCTCTCACTTATAGCGGGGGATAAACCACAAGCCAACTTGTGCGGCTGTGGCCGGCACACAAGGGCAACTGAAAGTGCTGCCATACAGAATCTTAAAAAAAAAAAAAATTACTCAATGAAATGTAAGTCAGATTGTGCTGATGATGGACTGCCTTTACCATCCATCCTTCTGTAAGGTCTACATACCCTATCCCTTGGTTCCTCTGGCAGCCGCGTTTACCACTGAGATGCTTAGCAATATCTCAATAGTGACCCCAAACAAAAATGACCAAAACAGCATTAATATAAAGATATATTCCATAAAAGAGTTTGGCAGTCAAAGAGAAGCATCACACTTCCGAAAAACACAAGCATTCTTCTCCTAGTCTACAGAGAATTGTGTAAAAAAAAAAAAATCATCATCAACAGCCACCAGTATACACCACACTAGAATGTACACTCCGGCAAGTAAATTAAGGTTGCAGTCCATCCCTGAACGATGAGAAGTGGTCTGAGCTATGGCAAAGTGTTAGAAAGTAGCCCAGCTAGACAAATGCCCCAGCTATCCCCAGGGGAGTTATTCAGTACTTAAGACTTCATTTCCAAGAGCAGCCCCAGAAAAGCCCTGACAGGAAGGGTGGACCAGTGATCACCGATATCCCATTAGGGGCGGTCACCAGAAACAAAATGCCTGGAGCTTCTGAGCAGCTGCAGCCTGGGGTTGTGGCTAGGCACGGGGTGTGGTTGCAGAAGAACGGCTGTCTCCGGGGAGAGGCAAATGGCAGGCCAGCCAGCCCTGGGTACATGGCCACAAGAGGAGCCCTGGCCAACAGTTTCAGGCTGGCCATCTTGGGCTGGGGCTCCCTGGGCTTGCAGTGGGGAGGGTCAGGATTCAAATTCTGGGTGACAATTTCAGTAGCACCAAGACCAGAAGACAGTGAGGCCACGCTGGGGAGTGGGGGAGTGCTTGTATGTGGGATGCATGGAGGGAGGCTGCAGTATGTGGAGGAGAAAGAGAGGCTGTTGTGGGCTGGTTCTTAAGACACTCAAGGGGACTCAAAGGGTCGGCTCCAGCCATGGACACTATCTAAGGCTGCTCAGAGGAGAATGCTGGAGGAGAGGAAGAGGAAGTGAAATGGTGTGAGAACATTCTTACCCCTATAAATAAACTATTTACACACTTTAAGAAAAGGAGAGCCGGCTCTCAGTGAAGAACCATGCCCACCGCGCCACCGGCGCCATCAGGGCTTAATGCTATCAAGACCAGAGGCAGTTCCGGCGCCAGGAGAATAGCTGGTGGACACAGGGGGACAGTGGACAAGGCACTCCCGTGGCACCAGTCCACGCACTGGCTCAGGCTTACTTCACTTGAACATGGCTGAGGATCCTGCAAACAACCCCTGATATGTGCATGTCCCAGCAGACTGCGCTGGCACTCAGAGGCCCAGCGGGGCCACGTCCGCCTCCCGTTACGGGCAGGCCCCCATGCTGCTTTGCTTGATGGAGAGAGATGCCCTGTCCACGCCTGTGGGTCCCTCTACCCACGGCCCACCCACAGATGTGGATGACCCAAAGCAGATGTCTGGATGCCAGTGGAGAGGGGACCAGGGTGTCCTGCAGACATGCTTGAGCTGCAGGGGGTCTGAGTCAAGCCCTCCTGGCAGCCACAGGAGCCCTCTCTGTCTTTCAGAGTCACCACTCCCACATAAAGACACATTCTCTGTCTCTGGGTAGACTCCAGAGGGATGCAGTCACAAGTTTGGGCAGGTAACAAGGGGGACCCTTGGTCTTCAGCACCAGCAAGCAGAAACAGAGAGGTCACGTCACGCTGATGCTTAAGATGGGGCACTGGCTCTGGGGGTGTCGGCTCCTCTCCCTCTGGACGTAGGGCTGATGGCAGAGAAAGGCTCTGGCCTCCCAGCGTGGCTCAGCTCGGCTCCCTCAACTCTGCTCCTCAGAAGTGATGGCCGGCCTTCACTGCCTCGATGTCTGAGATCAGCGTCCTTGCCAGGAAGATGCCAAATATCTGAAACCAACACCAGCAGAGTCAGCGGCCATTGCTGGGGCCCAAAGGCAGAGGGCAGGGAGCGGAGGGTGGGGTTGGGAGCTCCCACTGCACGCCTCTCCTCACCCCCCAGCTGCGACTGAAGACGTAGAGACAGCACCGCAGAGCGAGTGGCACAGCACAGCCACCCCTCCCGCAAAAAAGGGGTCCTGGGGTCTAGTCTGTTACATTCCCAAAGCCTAGAAGAGGCAAACCACAGGCACCACAAGCAAAACAGACACTCTGTCCTGCCTCCAACATGATTAAGTATGTCACAAGCCATGGGGCAGGACACGCCTGTCCCTGGGTTAAACCAAAAATAACAGGGTCACGCTGACTGGTTCTCATTCCCAAAATAATAAATCTTGAATGTTTCCTGTAAACGTCGATTCCATAATAAAACCAAGGCCATCCCCAATTTTGGCTGTGCTAATAATGTCTGAAGATCCATCCCAACCTTGGTGAGCAGGGAAATCATGAGAGGAGACTGATGTTCTTCTAACGTGAACAGATGAACACGAACTTGGTGACCTCTGGAAATGGCTTTTTTTCCCTTTAAATTCTTGTGTGGTTCTAATTTGACTAGTCAGTCCTTCTGAAGTCTGATTCTTCCCTTGCCTATTTTGCAAATAACTTTTTTCTTTCCTTTTCCAGTTGCTTCCTCCTATTTCTTAGTCTTCCTTGAAGGAGGAAGGCATGTGTGGGTGGCTGGTGGCCCTGGGTCTACCTCAGTCACCCTCTTCAAGGCAAAAACAGAGTCAAACACTTTCTAAATGGTGTTATTTTCCACACAAGAAATGCATCAGTGGACCCAGAAGCTGCGGCTTCTTGGAAGCCCTGAACAGCACTGGAAAGACTCCTGGTTTCTCTGATCACTGAATTCTTGACTTTCTCTGCCAGTTCTTCTCCTAGCAGTCACCAACCAGCCCAGTCACCCCAGGCCTCACTGCCTGCTCAGCCACCAACATCCTCCCACATGTGCAACCTGGTTCAAATGAACAAGCACAGCCTGGGAGAGGAAAGGATGCCACAAACGGCAGCAGGCCTCAGAGGATGTCTCATGGACAGGGAAGATACCTGACAACTCCAGCCCAGGGGCCAGAGACAGGAGGAGAGGTCCTGGGGCAAGTGCACACACGTGAGCCTCAGGCCACCCTCAGGCCCCAGGTGACCAAGGGTTTCACCTCCCCATCTGCAGCACTTGATGGCCCACCCCGAGCACACTCCTGACCTACCTCCAGATAGGCAGTGACCCTTCTGCAGCCCATTGGGCCCTCTGGAGAGGGCTGCCACCAGGACCTGTGCAGGGCCACAAGCCCCTCCCAGCCTGCCCCCGCCCAGAGGGCCCCCCTATAGGTAGCGTTTATGGAAGCCACCATTCTCCTCCCCAATACACTTACACGCATACACTCTCTCAGCCTTGGACATCCAGTTGAATCCCTTTTTTTCTTCTGCAAGCTTCCTTAATACCATACCCAAACTGGACCCATGCACTCTATGTTAAGGGCCCAATCTCAAATGAAAAAAGGCCACCTGCCAATCCTATAGGCTCCTGGGACACACCTGCAACAGCGAGATGGCGATGAAGACGCCAGCCACAATGTAAATGTTCCGCGGGAGCCAGCTTTCCAGCGCCTGGATGCAGCCTTTCGTGAAGATGGACTCATCCCACTTGCTCTTCAGCTGCAGGAAAACACCACAGGGGTCTGAGCCTTTGGCACACACGATGTCCCCACCTGATCCCCTAGTGAGCTCTGGTAAGGAGCAGGGCAAAGCAGGGTGGGAACGAGGGATCCAGGAGGCAGGCAAGGAGGACTCTCCAGGAGATGCTCGTCAGCTCCTCTCAGCCTCTGCCCCTCGCTGGGCACTGTGCCATCGCACCACCTGTCTGACCAAAGGCTCCCTGGCTGTTTCCTTTCAGGTCTCCAGAGATTTAAAGCCCAACTTTCTCAAGATACCCTTCCCCACCATCCACATCTGGAGAAAGAGAAGGGGCTTGAAGGCTTGGAGGAAAATGTGCCTCTAAAGGGAGAGAAACCTGGAGAAGGGGGTCCAGAGTCTCCTAAGAAGAGAAGAAGGGTGCTTCTCGGAGCGGGCATCCCACCAGTAAGCTCAGCTCCAGGAGACAGAGCCAGCAGGCAACAGTCGCCAGCCAACCAGCTCCCTCCACTGCTAACCCCGGTGGGGTGTCAGTAACCATCCCAGCACACACCCCAGCCCTGCCCACCCCACACAGGGCAATCGGCCCCAGCCCCCTCACACCTATCAGCCTCCTCCATGGCAACATGATGGAGTATTAGCCCCTAATTTTAGAGGTGTTAGGAGCTAAATTGTGTCCTCAAAATCCATACACTGAAGTCCTAACCCCCAGGACTTCAGAAGGTGACTGTATTTGTAGACAGGCTCTTTACAGAGGTAATTATGCTAAAATGAGGCCATCAGGGTGCCCCCTAATCCAATATGAAGAGCATCCTGCTAAGAGGAGGAGATCAGGACACAGACATGCACAGAGGGGAGCCCACGTGAGGACACAGGGAGAGGACAGCCACCTGCAGCCAGGAGAGAGGCCTGGAACAGACCCTTCCATCACAGCCCTCTGAAGGCACCCACCTCACCTCGCCAGCACCTTGATCTTGGACTTCTAGCCTCCAAACTGTGAGAAAATAAATGCCTGCTGTGGCTTAAATTTCTGTCTGTGGTATGTTGTGACAGCAGCCTTAGCAAATTAATATAAGTGGCAAAAAAAATCATAATTAGGGAAGCTGATGTTGATATAGGTTCTTATCTTAGTCCATTCAGGCAACTAGAATAAAATACTATAGATTAGGTGGCTTATAAACAACAGAAATTTATTTCTCACAGTCCTGGAGGCCGGGAAGTTCAAGATCAGGACACTGGCAAATTCAGTGTCGGATGAGGGCCCACTTTCTGGTTCATGGATGGCACCCTCTCACTGTGTCTTCACACAGTGGAGTGACAAATAAGCTCTCTGGGCCTCTTACATAAGGACACTCATCCCACTCATAAGGACTCTGCCCTCATGACCCAATCCCCTCCCCAAGACCCCACCTCTTAAATACCATCACATTGGAGTTTAAGTTCCAACATGTGAATTTTGGAGAGACACACACATTCAGTTTACAGCACTTTCTCCCTGTGAAATGCAGGTCCCTAAAGGAGGACAGTTCCCCAAGCTGTAGGGACACATCCCTCATATCCACGGCTAACAGGTGGGGTCTCTGAAGATTCCTCGAGACTCCTCCCTTTTAGAACAGCAGTCATTCATATCACCAAAGACCACTAGAACAAGGACTGGAGTGGGGTGGGGTCTTCCTTCTCTTTGCATCTAAGAGCACACTCCCTACAGCCTAAAGGAAGTCCTGGAGGACAGAGCCTCGCCCCTGCCCCAGGCCTGCCTCCCTCTTTGTCACTACTGCCTCCACACGGAGGCCAGAACAAGGCACCTACACTCCTGCAGCTGTCCCCTTAACGAGAGACGTCTTCTGGGATGCCAAGGAGCCTCCTAAAAATGCAGTCTTTGTCCCTCAAAACTTCCATCCCACCTCTTTAAATGCAGCAACTCCTAGATGTTGGGACTGCAGCTCACAAGGCTTAGAATCACCATTACTGCTCCCAGGAGTCCTGCCGCCAGCTCAGGAAGCAGTGTATGTGACCCTGTGCCTATGCTCAGCTTAGGTGGCATCAAGAGCTTCACTGCCCTGAGTTTTCCCACTTCAATTTGCACTCGTGCTAAATCAGAATGTTGAACCACAGGGAATAAAACCTAAAGAACTCTTCAAGTTGTATACATGGGAGTTCTCACCTGAATCCTGACATCATATCCACACTGTGTGTTCACAACTTTTTGCTGCAAGAAAAGCAGAAAAATTAGTTGCTTCTGGCGTCTCAAGAAGCTGGTGCTAAGAGGCTCTAGTAAAGTCACAACCAAACACTAGCAAACATTTGTGCAAATTCCATTACAGCTCATGTCCTTCAATCATGCCACCAACTAATCCTTCAGACCAGGACAGGGTGGCAAACTTTCTCTGTGAAGGGCTAGAGAGTGAGTACTTCAGACACAGACTCAATTCCGCTTTTGTTGCATGAGAGCCGGCACTGACAATCTGTAAACAAACAGGAATGGCTGTATTTCAAGAAAACTTTATGGACACTGAAATTTGAATTTCATATAATTTTCACGTACCACAAAATATTATTCTTCTTTTGATTTATTTCCAACCATTTAAAAACATCTGAATGCATTCTTAACTCACAGGTCATGGAAAAATAGCAAGCCAGATTTGGCCTGGGGGCCACAGTTTGCTAGGAGGTAAGACCTATACTTGGAGGTAAGAACTATATGTGCTAAAAGCAACACTTACAAGACTGGTACATTTCACAGTCGCAGTGGAGACCTCAGAAGAGCTGTGCAGCTTCAGCAAATCTGAGCCTCTCCTGGGCTGCAGAACTTGCCCATATAATAGTGGTGATGCTCTGCCTTCTCAAAGCCTGTAACCCAGGACCAGGCTTTGCATAACTGCACCGAGAGCTGGCAACTGGCCCAGTTCTACTCAGGCTCAGTTCAGGCAAAATTCAGAGCTCCTTCACAGTTCACCCCAAGAACCCAGCTTCTGGAACCCAAGGACGTTGGCCTTGGATTGGGAATGCCAATAGGTAAAGAAAGGACAGGACAGGCACAGCGGCCCACACCTGTAATCCCAGCACTTTGGGAGGCTAAGATGGGCAGATCGCTTTGAGCCCAGGAGTTTAAGACCAGCCGGGGCAACATGGTGAAACCCCATCTCTACAAAAAATACAAAAATTAGCCAGGTGTGGTGCTCAAGCCTGTGGTCCCAGCTACTTGGGAGGTTGAGGCTGGAGAATTGCTTGAGCCCGGGGAAGCAATGGTTGTACAGTGAGCTGAGATCGCACCACTGCACTCCAGCCTGAGTGACAGAGTGAGACACTGTCTCTAAAATAAAACCAAACAACAACAACAACAACAACAACAACAAACAGAAAATAATTAGCCGGGTGTGGTGGCGTGCACCTGTAATCCCAGCTACTCAGGAGGCTGAGGCAGGAGAATCGCTTGAACCCAGGAGACAGAGGTTCCAGTGAGCCAAGATCATGCCACTACACTCCAGCCTGGGCGACACAGCAAGACCCTGTCTCAAAAATAAAAGAAAGAGAAAAAGAAAGAAAATAATTCTCCACTACTGTTCCCCAGTTAATGATGTGTACCCACAGCCCCCGTGCACTGTTGAGTTCTAGGAATCTGCTCCAGAAAAAGGACAGGGAAGAGGGATAAGCGGGCCTTATTTCACTCATAGCTCTTGGCCAGCTGCAAGTGACAGCCCTCCAGGTAGAAATAATACTGTTTTTCTCCTGCCTCACCCAGAACACCAAGGCCAGGGTGGGTCATGCAAGCAGTGTTCCTAGAATGTACACATATCGGATTTCAGAGCTGAGGCAGCCTTGAGGAGGGTGTGGAGAAAGCACACCTGCTCCTCAGACCTCCATGACAGAGAAGTATCCTAGAGCACTGGAGGAGTCAGGAAAGCTTCTGGGCTTCAGGAAGGGCGGGCTCCCTGTGCCCCAGCACAAGCCAACTCACCGCAGGATCTGGCACGCAGCAGGAGAAGGGGACCCCGCACTTCTCTCGGCTGTAGCTGGCACCGCTGCAATTGAAGTAGACGTTGAGGTCCCAGTCTTCAGGGCCATATGCGCCACAGCACTGGTTCTGCAACCACAAAAGCCAGAACTGTTAGGGGCTCCAAGACAGGGCCATGGCTGCCCAGCATAGGGCATCATTCATAGTGATGCCAGGCTAAGTCTGCCGGCATCTACCATGCAGAGAAATCAAGGCCCGCCCCCTACCTCCCATGTGCAGAGATGCTAAGCTGGCAACCCAGGCAGCCCTTTAAGAAGAAAACAGCTAGGCGTAGTAGCTCAGGCCTGTAACCTCAGTGACTCGGGAGGTTGAGGTGGGAAGATGGTTTGAGCCCAGGAGTTGGAAACAAGTCTGGGCAACACAGCAAGACCCCCACCCCCAATCAGAAAGAAAGAAAGGAAAGAGAGAGAGAAAGAGAAAAGGAGAGAAAGAAAAAAGGGGAGAGAGAGAGAGAGAGAGAGAGAGAGAGAGAGAGAGAGAGAGAGAGAGAGAGAGAGAGAGGACCTGCCCTTTTGATGTGTTAAAGAAAATAATAACAAAAAGGAAATGGCAGTGAAGGTATCTCCGGGCCACGGTGCCTCCTCTGTCCAACCCACATGGCTGGCTCAGTGGAGCCCTCTGGCCCCACTGCCAGGCACAACATACCCAGCCCTGGCCCTCCTTAGCAGGGAGCTTGCTCTTCTTCCCAGCCTCCTCAAAGGAGACGCCTCCTTCCAGCCTCCTCAGACAGGAGAGTGGCGTCCTCTCCTTTGTGGCCCCCTCGGCACCTTGGTGTGGTCCTCTACTTGCCACAAGAGAACACTTCCTAGTGTGCAGTGTTCTTCCTCCCTGAGAAACTTGCAAGTGAATTCCCCTTTTCACCCCTTTACAAAAAACAGCTGCTAAGTGTCTGCTCCTGAGGAAAAGAGGTCCGATGAAGGTGAAAGGTAACACAATCAAAGCTCTGCCCCACACCTGGGGCCTCTGCCCTCCCCTTCCTCGCATCTGGTGTGGCTACAAAGAAAATCCTTATTTGACTAAAAAGTGTGTAAAATCCAAACACTGAAAGCATCATTGTGAAGTTGACAGTGTCTTTTCCCCTAAAAAACTTCTTTGCATTTGCCCTTACAGCTGACATGGTTATGGCAATAATCACAACAAATGACAACAGTGATTTCTGGTTGGTTATTTTGTTTTGCTTACTTCTCAGGTAAAATTGTCTCCCCCACACCTCCACGGTTCCACTTGCTTTAGTGATTACCTGAAATTTCACTCCAAGGAAGCTCTGTAATTTACTGAATCCCTCCCCTGGGAAGTTTTGTTTTGTTTTGTTTTAATTTATTTATTTTATCTTTTTTTTGAGACGGAGTCTTGCTCTGTTGACCAGGCTGGACTGCAGTGGCGTGATCTCGGCTCACTGCCAGTTCCGCCTCCCGGGTTCACACCATTCTCCTGCCTCAGCCTCCCGAGTAGCTGGGACTACAGGTGCCCACCGCCACACCCCACTAATTTTTTGTATTTTTAGTAGAGATGGGGTTTCACCATGTTAGCCAGGATGGTCTCGATCTCCTGACCTTGTGATCCACCCGCCTCAGCCTCCCAAAGTGCTGGGATTACAGGCGTGAGTCACCGCGCCCGGCCAGAAGTTTTATTTTTAAAAGAAAAAGAAGTCAATGCAGAAAACTATGTTTTTAAGGCAATGCAGGGATGAACCGCAACCTAGCATGCTGAGACCAGGCAAGCCAAGGCTACGTGAAAATGAAAAAAGGACGGTGGCACTGAACAGAAAAGAAAGGAGAGGCATCAAAACATGGCGGGGATTTGGTGACTTTCACAGACTAATACACATTAGTAATAACAATACAGGCAGGGTCTTTGGTCCCATAAATGGGTTTTGCTGGATCCCATAATACATGAAATAAAGGTGAACAAGTTTTGGTTAATAATGAGAGTGAATCATAGATTTTTAATGGTTTCTGATTTATTTTCTTCTCAAAACCAAAGTGTTCCACATGAAAAGTTCTTAAGGAAGCTGGGCTTTCTGTCAGCACACAGATCAAACAAGAGCCTTGCATTGCACAGGCTGACATGGCCAAGGAGTGGGTTCCTCCCCAGGGGGCTGTGACAGCTATGGTCCAAGCGTCCAGGTGCAGCCACACATGAGAGAGATAAGAGGGATGGGGACCAGATGGAGTAAAGGCCATAGCCTGGAACTGCTTAGACAAACCCCTGGGCACATATTCCAGGGAGGTCACATTCCACTAGATCTGACAAAGCTTCCTCCAGGCAGCCCTGGCTTCTTAAACAGGAAGGGGAAAAGGTCCCAGGGAGGAAGGGGAAAAGGTCCCGGGGAGGAAGGGGATAGGAATAGCGTCAGATGGTGAGTCATGAGCCGGGGGGAAGAAGCTGTGCCTTACGGTATGCAGCGCCTAAGGAGGATTGCAGCTGGTATGGCTATTGGGCAGGATTGGAAAGATCTGGGGCCGAAAGAGGAGGGCCGGGCACGTGGGGGGTGGGTGGCCTCGGGTACAGCTGGACTTGCCTGCCCAATCCCAATGGGAAAGGGCTGGCCCACCAGGCAACCACAAGCCGGCAAAGTGGAACAGACCAGAGGTGGAGTGGCTTGTTCCACGGCCTCCCTGCTGTCTGCCAAGCTGCAGGCAGACAACCCACAGAGAAGGCCTGATGCCCCTGCTAGACTCAGCTCCAGGCAGCACAGGGAGGTGCATGCTCTATCGGGGGCCCGCTGGGGAGGTGCTTACAGCTTTCTGAAGGGAGTCGATGAGGTTTTGCAGATCGATATCGTCCCGGTAGGACTTGATGTTGCTCTCGAAGAACTCCCGGAACCGGTCCCTCACCCAGTCCTGGAACAGGAAGGCCAGCACGGCCACAGCCAGCTCCAGGAAGAAGATGAGCACGATGGTGCCACAGAACTGCAGGGGAAGGGGACGGGAGCAGAAGTCACCACCCCACCAGCCTGCACCCCCACACACATAACCCCACCTGACCCAGAACCACCATCCTCAGCAGAGCGTGGGCTCTGCACCTGAGAGTCCCACATCGGGGCCCCAGAACCCCACACTTAGAGTTAGCTGGGTGACTCTGCACAACTTCGCTTCATCTGTAAAAAGGGGCTATTTATCCCTACCCATGTCACTGCATTGCTGATAACACTCAAATGCGTGAAAAAGTGTGAGAAAGCTCCAAGCCAATGTGTCAATCACTTGCTATGAAGCAGCCCTCCTCCCTGGACAAGGAGGAGACCCCTATCACAGGAATGAATGGCTGTCCTACCCCAGCAGTTCCACCTGGACCCTCCAGGGTGGCATCCTGGGGTGTCGGCTCCTTTAGGACAGACACTGTGCCCAAGACATTATCTGATGACTCCCCACTACACACACAAAACCATCGAGTGCCTACGTATCTGTTACCTCACTTTAGGGATGAGGAAACTATGGCTATGTCACGAGGTACATAGCTTGCCTGAGGTCACATAGTTCATGCAGGACATGTGAGTTCCCTGCAGGGCTCTTTACAATTCTGGAAGTGCCAATGTTATCTGTACCAACTCTGCATGAAAGTATATGATCGTCAGCATAAAGACCCCTCCAGAAGCTCAGCTGCCCCAGGCCACAAGCAGTGGTGGCATTCTGCAAGGGGCCAGTGCAGCCACAGGTCCACATCCCATCAGGGCAGACTCCCAGCCTGCAGTCTGCGCTCTCACAGACATTATCACTGGCCATATAAGACACTAAGCAGCTTGCCACAACCGGCCAATTTGGAGTAATCTTTCAAAGTAAGAAAAAGCATACACACGGCCGGGCGCGGTGGTTCACGCCTGTAATCCCAGCACTTTGGGAGGCCGAGGCGAGAGGATCACAAGGTCAGGAGATGGAGACCATCCTGGCTAACACGGTGAAACCCCGTCTCTACTAAAAATACAAAAAAAAATTAGCCAGGCATGGTAGCGGGCGCCTGTAGTCCCAGCTACTCGGGAGGCTGAGGCAGGAGAATGGTGTGAACCCGGGAGGCGGAGCTTGCAGTTAGCCGAGATCACGCCACTGCACTCCAGCCTGGGCAACAGAGCGAGACTCGGTATCAAAAAAAAAAAAAAGAAAAGAAAAGAAAAAGGAAACACACATATGCACACAAGGCCTGCCAAAACGTAATCTCTGTTCATATAAAAGCAAGATGCTAAACATAGCTTTTCTTTTTTTTTTCCAGAGAAAAAATTAGGACAAAAAGCCCATAGTTTTGCTTTTAAAATTATGTCCAAGAAAAAGAAAGCTTGATCTAATGAAGTCAACAAACAATATACTGCAAAATATGATAATGTGTTTTCCCCACCAGGTGTTATTTAACTGAATAAATCTAAACATGAATTTGTATCTAAATATAAAACTAAACTCTTAGTAATCTGCAGTTCTGCCAGGAAATTTGGGATTCTGACTTGTACATCCAACAGACTCACACATCCTTGGAGGAGGGAAATGATTTAAGGTTACTTGCAACATCTTTTGATCTTAGCCAGGAAGGGCAAAGGACAGTAGCAGACAAACAATTCTTTTAGAATTTCTGAAGGAAGATAAAAGGCAAAGGAGCGGGGAGTAGAGCTGGCCTATAGGCAGCTGGCTCCTCCCACCCAGGGCTAAAAACCAGAGGGTACCTAATTCTCCTGCTGGGAGGAACCAGCTTCTCTAGACAGTAGAGTGCAAATGGCTGCCTCCTGCTCCCAGGCAGGGGCCTAGGGGAGGCTCCTAAGAGCTGCCACCTGCTCTGACCAGGTAACATATAATCCTGCCCAGCAGAGCCTGTACCCCATTGCATCCTATCCCACTCTTGTCTCTGTGGCCACTCACAAAGTTGAGCAAGCAGATATTCTCCCGCAGAGCCCCCACGCAGCCGGCGAACCCCAGGGTGAACATCACCACGCCCACCATCAGGACCAGCACCACAGGGTCGATTCCATGCATCCGGGTCACTTTGGTGAGGTCGGACAGCACACCCTGAAAGAGACAGAGAAAGCAGGGCAGCACTGGCCCAGAAGGGGAGTCAAGGATGCTGCCCTGGGGGATGCAGGTGGTACTGAAAACAGGGACTTGCTTCCCCAGGCTCAGCCCTCTTGTTGACAGCCAGGCCAGAGTCCGGCCCCATCCATGCCCTTAGGGGCCCCTCCGACCAGGCGATCCCTGCCCACCTCAGGTCCCAGAAAGTGTTCCTGGCCTCCACCTACGCTACAAGTTCCTCCTAGGCAGCCACCAGGCTTCTTCTGCAGCCTGTGGGGTGCCTATTCCAGGCCTGGAGGGAAACGGGGCCCTGTGGCCTGTGGTCAAACTGGTCACCCAGGTGGCTGACCTTGTTAGTCCCCCAATTTGGCACCTAATTAATGAAGAACACTACTCTTCTGAGATGAAAACAGCCTCAATATGAACACTCTAGTAGAAAACACGCCCAAGGGCAGGCCAAAGCAATGCTGTCCATAGAAGTTTCTACACCAATGGAGGTGTTTTAGACTATACCCCCACTGTCTGGCCACAGGTATCGTGGAGCACTTGAAATGTGGCTAATGAGACAGAAGGACTGAATTTTAATTTATATTCAATTTCAATTTAAATATAAACACAGTCACACAATGGGCAGAGCAGTTCCATAGGGTTTGTAAAACGCCAAGGGGGAAGCTAAGCCCTGGAGACTGAGTCATGTAGCATGTTTGCAATTCTGTTTCTTAGATTATGGTTGAACTAAGGGACCGGAGAGACCACAGCCCCCCTTCCAGTCACTGATCTCTGTTATAGTTTAACTGCTTCCTTCATTGTTCTTTACTAACTCAGATCAGATATCATCTAAGACCCAGGGACAATTACATCTTCAGTGTGGAATGTTAAACATACCTTTCCTGAAAGAAAAAGACCGCCTCAACTAATCAGAACATTGTGACTAAGCATCAAGACATACATAGGTGTCTGGGCATGGCGGCTCACGTCTGTAATCCCAGCACTTTGGGAGGCCGAGGAGGGCAGATCACTTGAGGCCAGGAGCTCAAGACCTGCCTGGCCAACATGGCAAAACCCCATCTCTACCTAAAAATACAAAAATTAGCCAGGCATGGTGGCACATGCCTGTAATCCCAGCTATTTGGGAGGGTGAGGCACAAGAATCTCTTGAACCAGGGAGGCGGAGGTTGCAGTGAGCCAAGATCCAGCCACTGCGCTCCGGCCTGGGCAACAGAGTCTCTGTCTGGCTTTGGCTGGATAAATGATCCCAAGCTCCTACATTTCGAACAGGAAGGCTGACTTCCATTCTTTGGAATTTGTGCTTCCTGGGTAGGCCTGTCCTCAACATGTGTGCTTGAATAAACTCTCTCTAAACTAGGTTCTGGCCTTTTCACTTATTTTAGATCGACAGATTCAAAGGAATTGTAGTAGCCAGCTCCACACTCAGGGCCACACCCAGTTAGGCGGCTGCAGTCCCAGGGGAAGCCACACGGTGGTGCTGTGAGGCACAGATTGAACCTGCTTCTGGGTCACTGGGGCAAAGGGACATCGTACCCCAGCTCTTGCCCTTTAGGGGTTCACAGGCCACTTGGAAGGTGCCCAAACCTGAAGGTGGGCCTTATCCAGTCCCTAAGACCATGGCAGGAAAGCCTGTAGACCTAGGTTCTCCTGCCTCCTCCTGCTGGAAGCAAAGGGAGGTTCCACTGAAGGAAGAAGGCCTAGGCTCAAGACACTAGAGGAAGCTTTATTCCTGGCTCTTTCTGGCCAGGCCTGCTCCACCTTACTGCTTCCCTCCCCTCCCCTCTTCCCTCCCTGGCCTTTTTCAGCCCTCACTGCCTCCCCAGCACCCCTGCCACAGGGCAACAAGCAGCAGCACAGCCCCACCCTGCCCATATCCAGTCTCATCCCCTTCCTGGAGCCGCAACTGCACCATGTCCTTCCCGACAGTAGGAGCCAGGTCTCCACTCCTCCCCTCTCCTCCTGAGGCTGGGCAAGGAGGCCCAGAGGTGCTTAAAGGCCCACCCCTGCCCCACAGGGCACCCTGGGGGCATGTCACCCAGCCCCGCTCCCTGCTGCCTGCTCTTTCTCATCCTGGAGGATAAGGGCTTCCACAATAAGCATGCCTGTATTCAGGGACCTGCCCGCTTGCTCCCAGAGGCACAGACAGGGTCAGGAAGCTGGATTGCCCAAGCCTGCTCTGGGCACAGCTGCATACAAGAGCTGAGCTCTCCACATCCACAGGGCTCAAAACCCAACCAGCCCAGCCCATACCTCCAGCAGCCAATACTATCATGTGGGCAGAGTACGCAAGAGCTGTGTCTGTAAAGATTGACAATTATACACCTTGACACTGCACAAGAAATGCTTGTTGTCAGGGAACAGATTGGAGGAGGGAAAATGAAGTCCAACGAATCTGGTTTTGGCTGCCTGAAGCTCAGTGTCCTGCGACAGTTACACCTACCTTTTCGCTCCATGCCCACAGCCCGACTCCAAGGAAGACAACTCCAGCCAACTAAGCGGGGCAGAGGAAAGAGAGAAGGAAGTTAGGTTGGAAACCAGCACTGTGAACATGCTTCACAGAGCAAAGTCCACACTGCCAGGTAGGGCATGCTCCTAGCTCACATCCCACATGGCCCCTCAGGCCCCGCAGATGACAGATAACCTGAACCTACCTTCCTGAATATCTGGACAAACTCCTTCAACCTCAGATGACCCTATGCCCCAGGGAAGGAAGAGGAAAAGATCTCAGAGCGGACTCCACCCTGGAGAGACTATGGGTCACAGACATCAGGCTGTGCTGCTTCTTCCCCTTTCTGCAACCCTGAACTCATTTCAGTGCACTATCTGGTGTATACGAAGACATCACCCCTTGGGAGGGCTGACCCAGGTCCCCTCAGAGGTTCCCAACACAGGATGAGACTGCATAGGACCAGGCACCACCACAGGGTGAGGACAGGGGGAAACAGCCCAGCATCTCTGCCACACACCCCAGCTCTCCAGCCCTGGAGATAGACTCCAGGCACAGATAAGCAGCTATCCAGTGGCCCAGGCCATTCACTGGCCAGGGCTGAGCCTCCTCCCTACTGTTAACTACAATGAGCAGGGGGCGCATCTATGCTCAGGAAAGGCTGGGCTTTTAGCTAGAGAATGAAAATAGGCTTGCTCTAAGCAATGAGCTCGCCCCAGAGGAGCACCACCCCCAACCCCAACTTCCCACCTGCAGGAACCCATACCCCATGTGCACCACAACAGAAAGGCGCCCACCCAAATACATCACACAGGTTCCTGAACCAGGGAGGGCTTTTCCATATACAACAAAACACAACGTGGGCTCTGTTAATAAAGCTGCCTCCTGTTTTTCTGTGACTACTTTACACCACACTGGCATTTCACTGCCATTTATCACCATCTCACGATAAATAACAGGACCACGCTTCTCTATGACTACCGGTGATCTCAAGCCTTGAGCCACTTCTACCTATTTTACTCAGTAACTAGCCCCAGGGGCTAGAATGGAAAGAAAGGGCTCAAGGAAAGCCCCAGGAAGTCTCATCCAACCTGAAAGTGATCTGTGATCCAACCTCTTCTGGATCACAGATCACTTTCAGAAAATGCACACATGCCCAGTATTTTGCATGAAATTTTAGAGGGGTCACAGCTTCCCACTGCTGGCTCCCACAATGGTCTGTGAACACTAAGTAAAGAACCCCCACCAAGAACCAATCCCTCCATTTTACAAAAGCAGAGCACTGGGGCCCAGGGAGGGCCAAGACCAAAATGTCAGGCAGTGGGGAGAAGGGCTGAATCACAAGTCTCAGTTCATTCATTCACTCCTCACTCATTCATTCAACAAATATTCACGGAGTACATCCCGAGTGCCAGATACCGTCTCAAGTACTGGATACAGCACCAAGCCAAGGGGGTAGAGCCCTTTCTACCATATCACACCACACCCTTTTCCCGCTTCTCAGTCCTCCCCCTGAACTGACTAGCTGGGAAGGGTTTTCCTGATAGAATGCATGACCGCTTCCTTTCCCTCCCCAGGTGTCTTACACTGGCATGCTGAGCAACCTGAAGGTGACTGGTCACCACCTGCCGAATCCTGCAGGCTCCATCCCCACCCATCTTATTCAAGGCCCCCAGGGACCTGCCTCCCTCTTGCCAAAGCTGGAGGCCAAGACTTTTCCTCATGGTATCTGACCTCATTGGTCACAGCTGGTCATTCTCTCCTCCTCCAACCATTCCACTGACACACCCTGCTTCGGGGACCCCAAGCATATGCCCCTGACTGCCTTCCTCCCTGCTCTTCCTCCTCCTCCTCCTTCAGACCCCTCTAGATGCTGGTGGGCCTCACTCACAGTCCTAGCTCCTTCACCCTGCCCTGAGCCCTCTCGATGATCTCATAATTCACAAGGCTTAAATACCATCTAAACATTGCTGAGTGACACACTCAGATGTCCAGTCCTGGCCATGCCCCCGGTCAAATACCCTAATGTCTACTTTACTTGTCCTCCTAAGACAGCTAACGATATTTTACTCTTACTGTGCCCCACTACGCAGCCTTGGTCCCCCAACCCCAACCGAGCTCCCCCCAACTCTTCTCCGTCTCATTCAGTGGCACCACCGTCCACCCAGCAAGTGTAAGAGAGAAAACCCAGACCCCAGGCTTGGTGCCTTCTTTCTCTTTTGCCCTACACTCAACCCAGAGGACCCTCTGCTGGTTCTGCCTCCAAATACACAGTGCATTCGACCAGCTTTCCTCCAGTGTCTCTGCTCCCACCTGCCCCGGCTCCACCCACTCGAGTCTGGATCCCACGGGGCTCCTCACTGGTCCAAGCAACAAGACTGACCCTTCAAAAATACAGAGCTGGGAACTCCCCTCCTCGAAACTCTGCAGTGACTTCCCACGCAGACCTAGAAGAAAATGCACGGTCTCTCCCATGGCCCCCAAGGGCCTCTGCAGCCAGGCTTCACACACATCTCCCACGGCATCTCCTTCCCACCTCCCTGCTCCAACGCCACTCCCTGGGCCACCCTGACATTCTTGTTTCTTGAAGTCATCAAAATCACCCCTGCCTCAGAGCCTGGACACTGTTCCCTCAGCCGGCAATGCTCTTCCTCCATATCCATTCCTGGCTCCTCCCTCACTGCGTTCAAGGCCTCCTTTTACCACCCTGAGTGGAACTGCTCCCCATCCTCCATGTGTGACCTCCTCTGTTGATTTTCTTCGCGGCACTGATCCCAGACCACAGGGGCTGTCTCTCTATTGTGTCTCCCCAGCTAAGCCCTTCTGAGGCCAGAGATGTTACCTGTTTTGTTCAGAGTTGCAGCCCAACAACGAGGAGGGCTTGGCCCTCAGTAGGCACAGAGCAGGCATGAGTGACTCCCCAGGATTCAAGACCAGGACAGTGCTTGCCTGGGTCCTTCTAGCTACCCCCAGGCACACTTCTGGGTGTGATTCAATCCAAAGGCATTCAGAGCAAATGTGGGCCAAGAAAAGCTCAGCCTGGCCCAGGTGCATGGGTCAAGCTCTATACAGGGGCATTTGCCTATGGTCAGAGCAGAACAAGCCCAGAGGCCGATGCCCCATCCAGCATTCCCAACAGACATTCCAGCCCCTGCCTAACAGCTTTCCATGACAGTCCGCTCATCCTGTGGGGCCACATGGGACAGGTGAGAAAAGTCTACCTTAAGGACACTCAACAAAACCACTGCTGGAGCTCCCCTCTCTCCTCCACACTGCACTTCACAGCTCACCCCTTCTCTCACCTTGACTACTAAGTCTGACTTCTAAGGGTATTGTTTCCCACATTAATACCAGCCTCAGGCTGAGAACAGTGGCTCACAGCAATTTGGGAGGCTGAGGCAGGAGGATTGCTTGAGCCCAGGCGTTCAAGACCAGCCTGGGCAACATAGCAAGACCCCCATCTCTTAAAAAAAAAAAAAAAAAAAAGGTTTTCTAAAAAAATTAGCTGTAAAAAAAAAAATGCCTGTATTCCCAGCTACCAGGGAGGCCGAGGTGGGAGGACTGCTTGAACTTGGGAGGTCAAGGGTGAGATTGCACCACTGCACTCCAGCCTGGGTGGTAACAGAGTAAGACCAGGTCTCCCAAAAAAAAAGAAAAAAAAAAAAAACAGCGTCAGTTCCATCTATATTAATAGGTTTCTGTGAATTCACGCTGAGGTGCTGTTTTAGTTGTTTTGTTCTCCTAGGTGACTAAATAGTGACTAAATAGATACAATAGGAAGAGGTGACTGGTTTCACAAAAGGAATTTTGGTCTGCACAAGTTCTCAAAAAAGACCCTCGACCTCAAGAGCAGTTCATATCCCCACCCTCAGGGGCACAGTGCCCATGCAAAGGTAGGCCTGCTCCTGCTCACCTCTGTTCCAATCGCCCCTTCCCCACATGCAGGGCCGCTGTAGGGCCGCTTACCGCTCTGCATATGGCCCACAGACCACACCCTCCCTCGCTTGCTGTTCTTCTCAAGGCCCCCAGGGAAAGCCCTGGCTGACTCTGTGTTTACTGGGGAAGCCAGCTCCCCACCACTGCGTGCAGTTCTCTTTCTCTCAGCTCTAAGAATAAGGACTTGGCCAGGCGTGGTAGCTCATGCCTGAAATCTCGGCACTTTGGGAGGCCGAGTGCTGGGAGGCCCAGCACTTTGGGAGGCGGATCACCTGAGGTCAAGAGTTTGAGACCGGCCTCACCAACATGGAGAAACCCCATCTCTACTAAAAATAAAAAATTAGCCGAGCGTGGTGGCACATGCCTATAATCCCAGCTACTCAGGAGGCTGAGGCAAGAGAATCACTTGAACCTGGGAGGTGGAGGTTGCGGTGAGCCAAGATCACGCCATTGCACTCCAGCCTGGGCAGCAAGAGCAAAACTTCGTCTCAAAAAAAAAAAAAAAAAAAAAAAAAAAAAAAAGAATAAGGCCTTGTGTTGTTTTCATTCTGTTTTAAAGGAAGAACTAAAGTTAACTCACACCGGAAAGACAGGAACTTGGGGATCACATGTCAGATCATGGGTTCAATGAACAGTGGCCCAGGGCAGGAACTCTGAGTACCAACAAACCTGGTTTCAGAGACCAGGAGATTGAGGGAGGACTAGACAGGGGAAGTGATCTGCCTGAGAGCTCACATAACGGTCCCATGAATGAACTGGGTCATTGGCCCGCTTCACCCCACGGAACCCTTCCCTGGAACTCTGCAGCAGATGGTCCATGGGGCCAGGCCAGGTAAGCCCTGGCTGCTGTGAGCCCTGGCTGCCAATCTTCTGGGAGTGAGGGTTCAGCTGAGTGCCCTCCAGCCTCAAGTGACCTTCTTTGTCTCCCTCCCATGACCTAATTGAATTACCTACTGAAGAACGGGGCCCAGCTCCGGCCCAGCTTGAGGAGAGGCCAGCCTCCTCTGCTGGACCAGCGAGCACCTAAACTGCTATGGTCACTGTGAATAGCTGCCCTTTCCTGGGAGCTGTGCGCTGCATTAAATACTTAATGGACCTAAGGCTATCCCTCCATATCCCATAACTCTGGCTCAATTACCCTCATTTTTCACATGGGAAAGCTCAAATGTAGAGCAATTTGGTCCTTTGCCCAAGGTCACACGGCTAGCTGGTGGCAGACTTAAGAACCAAACCTGGATGCCTCTGACCCTGGCAACACAGTATCTTACCACCCACAGAGCAGCTGCCTTCCACACACGGGCACTCACACAAGAGCCCGGGGATGTAGGAATTCCACAGGGGGGCTTTGGGGTTGTGCAGCTCTACAGCCAAATGACCCACACTGTCAGGCAGTGAGACCACGCTGTGTCCCAACCAGGGCAGGTGGACAAGGCAGCAGGGCCTCTTTGTGGGTCACTGTGAAGATTAAATATTGACCTTTCACCTTAGGCAAATGACCTTGCGAAAGGCAGGAGGTCCTCTTGGGGCACTCTGGGCTGGTCCAGCCAGAGTCCAGACACAAGAAATCCACTTACCACACGAGCAAGCTTGTGGTACTTTACCCAAGCACAATCAAGTCACAAAAGGAAGTGACACCCGGCCAGGCCCTGCTGAACTGGAGGAGAAAGATGCAGCTCCAAGCAGGTCAAAGGCAGCCTCTCACCCATGATTTAATGGCCTTGGCTCCTTGCAAGATTTCATTTAAGCGTGTATAAAAGTACTTGGCAACTCCTGCAGGCCCCAGAGGCCTTTCCTCAGCAAGATCAAGGCGAATCACCAGCAGCAGGCGATGCTCTCAGGCTCTGCCCTGCTGGCCTCCGGGTCTTGCACAATCCACACGCTGACTCAGCCTGACATTCACAGAGCCTCTTCCCCTGAACAAAGCCGGCCCTGGGTCCAGTCTCTGCTTTGTAGCTACCTAGTGACAGGGCCTCATGCGAGTCCAAGACCTTCTCTGAGCCTATGTTCTCTACAAAACAGGGATTATCTTTCCTAGGTCACAGGAAGGTTGTAAAGATTGAAGGAAGATCCTACGTGACATGCTTACTCCAGGCACAGAGCCAGTCTCAAGGTGGCCATGCCCTCCCGCACGGCAGACAGAGCAGAGATGTGAGGGGCGTTCAAGGATATGCCACAAGCATCTGCTGTCCTGAAGACAGAGTCTCCTTCTCTTGACACTGGTGTTCTGTACCCCACCCCCAATTACTTCCAGCACCAGCTTCTGTCCTAAGACCAAGTGCTTTCCAGAGGCACCTGTTTTACTGGGCTTCTGGAGACAACAGTGAAGCAGAGCTTAGGGAAATACGGCCTTCTGGAGGCTTTTCAAGTGAGGTAGGAAAGGATGATGGAAAGAAAACAGCAGAGAGTGGAGGAAGCCAGGACTGAGTCTCAGCTTTGTCCCTAACTCACAGAGTCAGGGTCTCGAGGAAGCCATCCCTCTCCTGGGCCTCAGTCTGTCAATCAGCAAAATAAGCAGCAAGGACCCATGCACCTCCCACTGGCTGAGTTTTGCCATTATAAATTACACCAGACGGAAACCCCAGGGTCCTGGTACTCTCCAGAATAAGAAATCCTGAATCCAGGCCTGGGGCATTCAGGAAACAACAGAGATGCTTGTGGCCACTTGAAATGCTGACGATTGAATAGAATTTGAAGCCAAAAAGGACCAGAGGGTGCAGACCCCAGACCCAACCTGGCCTGAGAGCCCAGTGGGCCAAGGGAGGAGCTGCAGTTATCTGTCCTGTGTTGAAAGCCTGAACCAAGCCACTTGTCAGTGGGAGTTCGGAAGGTCTGGGAGCCAGAAGGGATGCTAGGGCTCGGCTTCCTTATGACAGAGGGAAACAGAGCCCAGAGCAGGAGGTGCCTTGCATGGGGTCACATAGCTATCACACCCCAGCTTTTCCTCCTGCCGGAAGGGTGGTTCTGAGAAAAGGCAACACATGTGCCCTCCCAGCAGAGCCAGCAAACCCATGTGAGGGCCCCAATGTGGGGAAGGACTGTGCAGAGGGCTCCAGGGGCAGCTTCCACAGCTGTCTCTGTGTTGCCAGATAACAGAGTTGACCCCCACTGAGCCCCGCCCAGGAACCTGAGTCAAGGCCCTGGAAATGAAGGCAGGCGGAGGGAGCACAGCCATTCAAGGGAGGTGATAGGCAGTACCCCCAGGAGAGAGGGAACCCCCCAACCTAACTTTGGCACAGTTCACAGTGATTAACAGTGGGTAGAAAATCAAGATACTAAGGCAGTGGTCAGCATTTCTGTAAAGGGCCAAATAGTAAATATTTTCAGCTTTGTGTGCTGGATGATCCCCGTAGCAATTACTCAACTCTGCTGTTATAATGGGAAAGCAGCCATAGATAATACATAAATGAATGGGTGTGGCTGTGTTCCAATAAAATTGTATGTGTAAAAACAGGCGGAAGGCCAGGTTTGGCCTGCAAGCCATAGTCTGAAAAGCTCAGCTGTAAACTATCACACTAAAACCATCTGGACCTGGAGAGGAAAGATGGGATGTCATCCTGCTCAGCCACACAAAGCCTGGGATACCCTATACTCAGGTCTCCAACACTGGTATGTTTTTATATCACTGTAACAGGTCTTAATAGCCTAAAACTGTAAATAACACAAATTATATATCCCCACAATAGAATATTACACAACAAGAATAAATGATCTACAACTACGTATAACTGCATGAATGAATCTCACATATGATATTAAATGAAAGATGTCAGACACAAAAGACTTAATACTGTTAGGGAAGAATACTTAGTAGAAAAACTATAACTAATATCCAATCAAAAGTTACTAGATAGGCAAGAAAAGGAAAGAAGTGAGCTATAAGAGAAAAAATTCAGTAAATAGAAGACACAAGAATGACAAAGAAGATGAAATCCCAACAACTTCAAAACAAGTATTGCAAATATGTTCAGGAATTTAAAGGAAAATATAAATAAGATAAGGAAAGAAATTGGAGACATAAAAAATACCTAAATGTAACGACTAGAAATAGAAACTACAATATTAGAATTGAAGACTTCACTAGATGGGTTTAACAGCCAATGAGACAGTATGGAAGAAAAGATCAGTAAAGCTGAAGACAAAGCTATGGAAACTAAAGGAGAATGGTAAAACACTCAACAAAATAAAAAACTAAACCGAGCCTCTGTGCCCTAGATAAACAATGTCCTAGGGAAATGGGACAGGGAAGGGGAGAAAAAGGGTGTGCGTTTGAAAACATAATGGCTAAAATATTCCAAATCTGATGAAAACTATAAACCCACAAATCTCAAAGGCCCAATGAACCCCAAACAGAATAAACACAAAGACAACTATACCAGCATGTATAAAATTGCTATAATCCAGAATAAAAGGAGAAACTCTTGAAGTCAGCCTGGAGGTGGGAGGAGACACAGTTCATAGAGTATGCATATGCGAACTATTTTTACCAAATCAAGTGAAAACATATCAAAATGTGTGGGATGCAGAAAATGTACAGCTTCAAATATTTATATTAGGAAAAAAATCTAAAAATCAGTGATCTAATCTTCCAGTTTAAGTAGCTAAGAAAAAGCAAAATAATCCCAAGTAGAAAGGAAAAAATAATAAAAATAAGAACACCAATCAAGGTGAATGTGAATGTACTTAACGCCAATGAACTATACACTTAAATGGTTTTAATAACAAATGTTCTGTTACGTATATTGTACAATTAAAAAATAAGAAATTATTTCAAAAGATTTTTAAAAAGTAATTAAAAACAGAAAAACAACAGAGACACTACCACCTAACTAAAAAAAAGTCAGATACCAAAGAGTTTAATTTATAGCAACAGGAGGCAGAACAACCATCACCCAGGGAAGGGGTAGGGTGGGGCAGGCATGACTGTAGGGGCACAAGGAAAGTTTCTGGGGTGATGGGAATGTTTTATATCTTCATTGTGATGATGGTGATTATGTGGCATGTACAGCTGTCACTGAACTGTACAGTTGAAATGAATAAATGTTATTCTATCTAAATCAGACATCAACAGAAGTGATCATTATAAAAAGGATTTCCATTAAAGAAAAAAAGTACAAACAAGAAAAATCACTCCTGTAGACTATGCCATGCTGATTATTTACCAGCCAAGGAGGCAGAGTTATACAAGCACACCAAACTACTTAAGACTTGAAAGTACGTGCAAGCATTTAACAGTCCTGTGTGCCAGGCAATAATCTCAGAGCACCTTGAACATCCCTTCCTCAGTAATCCCAACTGGTGGTCCCAGCCTCACACTTGCCTAAGTTGGGGAAATCAGGGGCTGAGGCCATGCAGGCATCAGCACCACAGGCCACTCCTTAAGTTCTAGTGGAGTTTCTGATTAAGCAATCCCTGCCCTCTGCCTTGGCAAGCCTAAATGATGAAATACACACATGTACATACACACACACACACACACACACACACACACACACACACACACAGTGCCAAAAGACAGTCAACTTCCTATGAATTGGGGCAGTCGTTCTGGGGATGTGATTTTGACTGTATGTTCAGGCAGGTCAAAACAATGTACACACCTTGTGACCCAATTAATCTCTCCTGGGAATCTATCTCAGCAAATAATTTCCCTCCCTTCCCTAAAGGGAAGAATGCGTATTACATAAACTAATCACTGCATCCTTATCTAGGATAGCAAAAAAATTGGAAACAACCTAAATGTCCAATATGGGAATTTCTAAAAATACAATTGGAAAGATAATGTTGCAACCTGGAATGTTCTATATTAGTAGATGTTCTATATTAGCAGATGCTGATGTGAAAATGCGTATCTTAAGACTGCAAGGATACTACTCACAGGATATGAAACTGTGTGCCTGCAGACAGGACGCTGGGGCATGGAAGAGGAAATGCAGTAAACCTGGGATGCCTTGTTTAGCCTTTATGAATTTCCACGAAATTACAAAAGTTGATTAAATACTACCTGAAGAGAAAAAGGGACATCTTCCCAGCAGTGAAAACAAAAATACACTATATACATTATTAAAACACTAGACTTTTCCCTTTTGACTGCATTACTGAGATGGAAATGAAGAAATCATTTGTCTGAAGATCTAGGGATCAGGCCTTGGGGTCTGATATCAAAGGAGCAGAGTTCAGCTCAAATAAGGGCAATTTTCCATCAGTCAGAAGAGCCCAGGAACAGCAGACTATCCTGGGAGGTGGCAAGTCCTCTATAAAGAGGAGCATAATAAAAGTCAGAGGAAGAGAATAAGACCCCACCTGCAAAGATGCCCTACACAGAGGTAAGGGAAGAGAGTTGATCTTTCCACCTTGGGCTTGTCTTCCCTTTCTTGTGCAGGGTGGCCACATGCCCAGGTTTGCACAGGAGAGGCCTGGGGTACACCTGTTGTTCTGGCAAAATTCGCAAGACTCTCTCAAAATTCTCTTACTGTCAAAAGTTGAACCACAGATTACATGTTCGCCCTACTCACAGGAGGCATCTGTGACTTTGAAGGAATAGGCCTTAAGCCATGCTGGTCACAGAGCACAGATGTCCATGGCTCTCATCTCACTCAGAAACAGGCTGCGCAGAGGTGAATTCACACATTTTACAAGGGTAGGCTCAAACAGACCCAAGTCACTGAGAAAGCCAATGGCAGAATGTCATTTAAAAAAAATTTTTTTAAACTAAAGGCAAGCAAAGGACTTTCCTGTGTAACACAGGCCTACAGTCTATTTAGAAAGGGTCTCAGTTCTTCACTTTTAATCCATCTCTGAAGCAGATCCAGGCAAGGACTTCATCCAACCTCTGCATGCAGATTAAAGCCAATGCTTGTGTTGGAAACCAACCCTGGAGTTGCAGACATTATCGGAATCATCCCTCTAGAGGATTCACTCGGCAAACTTAGAAAAGTCCAAGTGCTTTGTGGAACCAGTGGGGGGTATAAATGAACAAAGACAAAGAGCCAGATGCCACTCCTCCAGTGTACGCCTCTCCCAGCTTCCCTTCCTCTGCACATCAAAGTGAGATCTTCTGTACCCACTAACCAACAACTCCCCAATCTTCCCTTCCCGGGCTCCTAGCAACCAACATTCTACTTCCTGTCTCTATGATTCTGACTACTGTGGGCACCTCATATAAGTGGAATTATACAGTGTTTGTCTTTTTGCATCTAGCTTATCTCACTCAGCACTATGTACTCAAGGTTTACCCATGCTGTAGCATGTGACAGAACTGCCTTCCTTTTTAAGCTCTTTCACATCTGTATATCACATTTGGTTATCCACTCAATCATCTATGGACACTTTGGTTGTTTCTACCTTTTGGCAACTGTAAATAATGCTGCTATGAATGTGCACATAGGTGTACAAATATCTCTTCGAGATCCTGCTTTCAGCTCTATTGGTTATACCCAGAAGTGGAATTGTTGGATCATACGGTAATTCTATTTTTAACTTTTGTGGAACTACCATACTGTTTACCATAGCAATTGCACCATTTTACATTTTCACTAACAGTGCACAAAGGTTTCAATTTCTCCACATCCTCATCAACATCGGTTATTTTCCATTTTTTAAAATAATAGCCATCCCAATGGGTGTGAAGTGGTATCTCATTGTGGTTTTGATTTGCATTTCCTAAGTCAAAGTGAGATTTTTGCACTAAAAACAGGTCTAGCACAACCAAAGAATGATTTTTTCAGTAAGTAAAAAACACTAGCGCTCTCAAAAAGCCATGTTGCATGGAAGCATATTTTCCCTAACATCCTTGTGATAAGAACCTCATGAAGCCCATTCCATTCTCATTCTGTAAACCAAGAGGTTCAGAACAGACATGCAAACATCAGTGGCATCCACATTTCTTATCCCAAGCAGGTTTTAACAATCCCGGGAAAACCTTGGCCCCAAAGTCAGAAAGAGAGCTTAAAAAAATCTATTAGGTACCAAACGGTATTTATCTATAAAGAATGCTATTGTGAAAATAAGTCTTTTTTTTTTTTGAGACTGAGTCTCGCTCTGTCGCCCAGGCTGGAGTGCAGTGGCGCGATCTTGGCTCACTGCAAGCTCCGCCTCCCGGGTTCACGCCATTCTCCTGCCTCAGCCTCCTGAGTAGCTGGGGCTACAGGTGCCCACCACCACGCCCGGCTAATTTTTTGTATTTTTAGTAGAGACGGAGTTTCACCGTGTTAGCCAGGATGGTCTTGATCTCCTGACCTCGTGATCCGCCTGCCTCGGCCTCCCAAAGTGCTGGGATTACAGATGTGAGCCACCGCGCCAGGCCTGTGAAAATAATTCTAAGTGAGGGCAAACTACTAAATAAAACCTCATATTTGTCCCAACACCTAGGATTGGTCACAGAAGCAACAAGTTGCCTTCTGCACATTCAAACTTGCCTGCTGAGCCCAGTGTCCACCATCAACACGTGCAATCCTTCTGCACCACTGCTCACTGTTAATTCATTAAACAAAATACAAATAAAAACACTGCAAAATCATCTACCTGGGCTTTGCTTCAAAATAATCCAAAGGGTTGGGCAGGGGGATACAAATCAAATAAGCTAGATGGTGGGAACATGGAGTTCATTTTATTATCCTACTTTCATATTTTCTCCATTTAAAAAAAAAGAAAACTTATCTGAAGAGGTAAGGGCTTGGGCATTCCACTTTATACATTTTCAGCAACCTGAGGCAGACACTAGGCAGCTGAGAGTGCTACATCACAAGGAAAACACTGAGGCTTAGCCAGGTCACTCAGCTCAGGGAGGCCCTGGGTGCCCAGAGCCAGCCCGGCACCCTCCTGCTACACCGTGAGCTTCCCAGAGGTCTGTGCGCCCATCTCAGGCCTCACCCCATTTGCCAGCTCCATTGCAAATGAAGACTGCACATCACTACCAGGAACCCAGTGGGGAGGGTCCAGCAGCTTCCCCCTAGGCAAGGCACTTGGCCTCCCACTCTTATTTCCCAACCAAGCTCTCTCATGTTTGGTCTTCCTGACTGTTCCTGTTTGTTCCTTCCTGTTCTGCCCCAAGGCACACTAACTGAAAAATGATTAACTTTCAACACACATTGCCAAATCTGCAAAAGCCCAAAAACACTGCAGCACCCTTCAACCACCAAGCAGACTTGCTACCATGCTGGATTCATGCACTCCACTACTGGAATATAGTGCTGCAAACGTGTTACTGGGCAAGTTAGTAGAGCTCCCTGATGTCAAAAACTCTCTCCTGAAACCCTCTGAAGAAATGAAGATACCAGGGCCCTCAGCCACAGCAGTAGTGGGAGAGTGCTGCTCTAGCTGCAGAAATCAAGATGAGAGTTGGAGGTTGAGGCACAAAGCCAAGCAGCACACCCACAGAGAGGAGCAACTGGGTGTCCAAGTGCACAAGTGACAGACTGCCTGCCTAGCCCAGCGAACCTCCACCATATACTTGCCTGGGGGTGCGGGATGGTGGAGGGGAACACCAGGTAAGGCCAGAGGGCTCTCCAGACAGGGAACAATGCTGCTCTGAGAAGCCATACATCATGAGGATGGAGCATGGACTCCCGCATTAAGAGGGACCCAGAGGCACCACATCAAATATCCAGCAATGCCCTATTCCAGGGACAATGATGCAGATGTTGGTGCAAAGTTATCGGACCACAGGAAAAGATGTGGGCTAAAAGACCAAGCCATTGAATCCCACCTTATTTCTCTAGGACAGAAAATCCCCAAACATACTAAGATAAATCACCAGGAGATGAAGCTGTAAAATCAAGCTTGCAAGGCTGAGAAGGCTTAGTAAGTCTGCCTTGTTTTCAAGAGTTCCAGTCCCCATAGGAGATGCCAAATCTGCAGTAGAAGCAAAATGTGACATCATGGCCACTCATTCTGTCCTTCTTTCTCCACCTACCCCCACACAGATATTCATAAACTATGTTTAATGGTTTTCAAAGACTCTGTGCATGATCATGTCCCCAGGCCCTCCTGCACAGAATCAATGTCTGCCTCTCCCTGGACCAATCCCACTGGCAATAAACACATGCTATATCTCCCTTAATCCCTTGACCATCTCCAGCCAGTGTCCAAATTTTTCTTCTCCTCTTTAAGGCAAGCATCCTTGGAAGAACTGTCAAGAGTCATCCCCTTCACTTCTTTACTTCTCATTGGCTCCTCAGCCGACTCCAGCTGGGTTTCTATCCACCCGCCCAGATCCCCTACCCAGAGCTCACAGTGGTCCCGTCAACATCAACAACCTCCACTTTGTCTAAGCCATTACCAATGTCCTGTCCTCATCCTTCTTCACCTCCCTGCACCATGGTTGACTGTGCCTTTCTACTTTAAAGGCTTCTACAATACACAATCTCCTGGTCTTCCCTTTACCACAGGCCACTCGCTCTCAGCCAACTTGGGAGTGGGTTTTCTTCCTCGACCCAACCTCTAGCATCCTAGGGCTCAATATTCAGACCTCTCCTCTTCTCAGTCAACACACCCATCTTCCATGCTCTCATCTGGTCCAGCCCTTCCTCTGATGGTGGTTGGCCAAGACTTCCATCTCCAGGACAGTCAACGACAAAGGAAATAGTATCTCCCTGAGGCTGGCTATGAGATAACTTAAATGTACCCCTTCTACCCCAAATCCCATCTCAGAACCTGGTACCACCATCCATCCCCTCACTCTGCAGTCACTACAAAATCAGATCACACCACCCAACTTACAAGCCTTCCAATAATTATTTAAAGCAGTAGAAAGTAATTCCAACTATTTATTGAGACCTGTATGATCCTTTGTGACCTGAATCCTGCATGCCTCTGTCCCCACCTGTGTCCCTTCTCCCACTTACTCAGCTCCAGCCACATGGCCTTCTGTTTGTCCTTTGCACACACAAAGCTCATTCCTGCCTCAGGCCCTTTGCAGCTGCCATTCTGTCTATCTGGAGCATTCTTCCCCAGACTCCTGCTTGGCTGCCTCTTCATTAGTACTCAAGTTTTCAGCCCACAAGTCACCTCCACAGAATGCCTGTCCCTGGTCACCCTATCCAAGGAGCTTCTCCCTCACTGTCCTGTTGCTCAGGAGGCTAACATGGCTCTTGGTTACACATAAGCACTACAAGGATAAGACTTTATTGCCCTTGTCTGTTATCACCTCCCAGAACCTAAAACAGGGCCTGGCCCATAGTCAGATGCACACAAAGTACCTTGCTGCTGATGTCTCATTGGGGCACTCCCAGGATCGGAACAGGGGGCAGGTAGGGGAGACAGACAGGCATCTGGGCCAGAGCCCCAAGGCTTCCTGAACCCCCAAGGCTGGGTTGGCCTTACTCTGGCTTTCAATCACCTCGGCCTTTGGCCTTCCCCCATCCCCACAGCTGCAACTGGTTCTGTGAGGGTAGGGGTCACTGACCCTGCCCACCACCTTATCCCAGAGCCTTACATAGTGTCTGGCAAATCAAGAGTGTGTGGAAAACCATAATTTACTGAATGAAGGACTAAACAAGGGAATGTGGCAGCTCTCATCCACTTACCCAGAAGATGATGTTGTAGCTGAAAAGGAGGTACTTGTACCAGCAGCTGACCTTGGCGTTAGAGTATCTATAATAGTGCATCTTCTGAGAAGCAGAATCTGCGGAGAGATGTGTGACTAGTGAGATGGCAGGCTCAGCGTTAAAACCTTTCCCCCAAACCAGCTCATATGCGGATTCTAGAAAGCTCCCGATCATTTCCCTCATGACCCTTTACTGGTCCAAGCAGAGGCCTGATACCAAGGCCAGGTATAGGTAATGCAAAACTCAGGTTAAATCAGCTCTCCAAAAGACAAACGAAAGGATAAGGGAGATTTTTGAAAGGAAGAAAGATGCTTTTTAAGTGTCTTCTAAGTACCAGAAATTCGGCTTGGAGCCTTCCCAAATATTGATCTCATCACCTCTCGATTGGGAATTGATTTTTTTCCACTTCATGGTTGAGGAAACCATTCAGAAAGGTCACATGACTTGCCCAAGGACAAGAGAGCAATGACAGCCCAGGATTGGAACCAAGGACAGGGGACTTCACAGTCCACGTTCTTTCCACCCACCAGAGCCAACAGAAGAAACGGGCTTGACCACAAAGAGCCATGTTTGGGAGATGAACGTGCAGGCAGGTCTGGACATGATCCAACTGTGCCCAGTGAAGAAAAGCCAAGATGAGGACTCCATACTCATTCATGCAACATTTTCTGAAAACCTCTGAAGCTCAGCCCTCAGAGGTGAGGAAGGCCACTGCAGCCAGCAGCCATCCCCCTGCTCCCTCCCTCCCCTGTCACTCGCCCCCCACTCCACCTCAACCCAGACTATAGCCATAGCTTTGTCCTCCAGGGCTGTAATGAAGCTTGGATTACACAGCCTATGTGGGAAGACCCTGTGAACTACAGAGTGAAGGGTGGGGCCACTGTTTTTTATCTGTGTCTAACCCTCAAAGCAACCTCAGAGATCCTACTGCAGGAGGGTGCTATTTCCGAGGGACTTTTCTGAGGGCCTGGCCTACCTTTGCTGCTTTCCTTTTTGAACCCCAGTGGCAATCCAGGTGGACCCCGAAGTCCTCCACGGTCCCCTGCCCCCAATGCAGTGGCTGAACAGTGGGGAAGGAGGGAGTGCCTCAAGTGCACAGGTAGGGACAGGATCAGAGGCCCGTAGGGCAGTGGTCCCATGCCAGCCCCCTGCTCACCCCCCACTTCCCAGGTGAGGAGAGTAACACAGCCCAAGGCGAAAGGAGACAAGGCCACCCTAGAGGTGAGGAGGCGACCCACCCACATCCGCCAGTGAGAAACCAGCTTCCACGGAGTGGCTACTTGCAAAACCCCTTCCTGTGAGGCAGCCACGGCAGGCTGGCTGCTGGTCTGCAATGTTCTGAGAAAGAAGTGCCAAGAAGGGACATGAAACCACACTCCTCTGGAAACGGAACCTGTGACCGCTCCACCTCTCCCACGGTGTGGAATTGACGGGCACAGCCTAGACACCACCACTCACCCACCAGACCCTCCTTCTGTCTGACCTCAGAAACCAGCTGGGGAGAATGACAGGCAGACGGCTACCCAGCTGCCCTATCCCCACCTCCCCCCTACCACCGCCCCACCATCACAAGAGCACATCCATAAAACTTGCCTCCAAGAATGAGTGTGAACACAACCACCTGTTGCCCAAGGACTCTACAGGACACAAGGACACACACAAGGCCTGAACACTGTATGGGCCAGAGCGGCTGCAGGGAGAAAAGCAGCTCTCAAGGAAGAGACACAGGCGCCTTCCTTCAGCAACATGACCTCAGCCCATGCAAGTCCCTGCTCTCTCAGGACCTCAGCATCCTCAACTAAAGTGGGGCTTTTAGTGACCTGCTCCAATGTCACTGGCATGAGGGTCCTGGCTGGCAGCATCAGAATCACTTATTTTAAATACAGATCCCAGCCCCCAACACAAGGTTCTGGTAAGAAGGTCTGCGTTGGAGCCTTGAATCTGCATTTCCGACAAGTCCCCCACCCCCGCCCCCACGGTGATACTGACATGCCAGCAGACCCATGCCCAGCAGATCAGGTATCAGCTTAGGCACTGAGGGCTGCAGCAGTCCCCTTGGGGATCTTACAAGGTAGACGGGCCTGTTGAGCTGTGGTGCAGCACACGGATTCGCAGAGAGGGGCTCCGTGTAGGCAACTAACCTAACGGTAGCTATAACTAGCATTCACCAGCTTGTTTCAAATTACAGGGTCCCAAAGCACTGGGTTGGTTTGTTAATTTTTTGTGTAGGTAGAGATAGGAGTCTCACTATGTTATGTTGCCCAGGCTAGTCTCAAACTCCTGGCCTTAAGCAATCCTCCTGCCAGGGCCTCCCAAATTGCTGAGATTACCTGCATGAGCCACCACACCCAGCCAATGGTTTGACTTTTTAAATTGTTCTTTTTTTTCCCTTCAGGGGAGGGTTGGGCTACCCAACCATAAATCCATGTCTGGATTAATGCATATAGGATGAAAAAAAATTTTTAACCTAAAACTCAAGTACATTTATCACAGAGAACTGTCAATTCAGCTGGAAATGCCTTATGAGGCAGAAAAATGTTCTAAGCGGTAGAAACTCTATTCTTTTTTTATGGACAAGACAATCCCGCCTCCTCTCTTCCTCGTGGTTCCCAGAGGAGCCTGGAAAGTAGAAGGCTGTGCCCTCCAGGGAGCTGGGCCTCAGGAACTAAGGAGGGCTGGTGCGAGCCATGGAATCCAATGCCTTGGGATCCTACAGAGTGCTCCTTTGACCTCATTTAACCCAACCCTGTAAAGAACTCTCCGGAAGCAGTAAGAAAAGCCAAACTTCCCCCTTCCTCCTTGATGAAAGCTCCACAAAGAAACCAGCTCATTAGCAAACGTGTCTGTGTGCTTTCCACAGTGTTGGTGGCTCACCTCTGCTCCCCTGCCCGGGGCCTTTGCAAAATGACTGTCCTGTGGCAACACAGGGAATCTCAACCTGACGGTCCCTGGTCTCCTGCAGCTCACACCCATAAAGTGTACAGAACATGGAAAGGCTACAGGGAACACTTCATGGGGATGCAGTTGGCAGGAAGGCCAGCGCTCTGGAGCAAGGATTCTCCACAGGGCGCCTGGCTTCCCTCACCATCTGCTGCTTCACCTTCCACCCAACACGCATGACCAACCAGGGAACAATTCTGCCTTCAGATGCTGGGGTCCACACCTACACCCGTCAGAGACTCTCACAGCCACGTCCTAAACTCCAAGCCCTCACTTCCCCCCTGGTAACATCAACACTCGAAACTACACTAGGGGCCACACTGCGGAATAACTAGGAAGAAACCCTCTCTCATCCAAGAAGAGGTGTGCCACACCCAGACAACGTATCCTGATGCACGTGCCACTTACAACCCAGAGCACATGCACCGCCAGTATTATGCCATTTTTGGCCATTTTTGTACAACCCAGGATAACCCCATGAGGTCTAGGGGTGGGGCTGTCCCAGTGACACTTTTTCCCCCATCCTCAACCCACAGAAGAGGAAACTATTGCAATAAACTGTTGAAAAGAAACATTTCAGTTTTCCTTCTCCGCTCCCCGCTTTCCCACCCCTGCCACCCACCTAACCTCGGGACAGGGAGGGAAGGCACCTCTCAATCTGTCCCTCTCTGCTGTGTTGGCCAGCGGGTTGGAAAGCAGGTCCTGACCCTCTGTGGGGCTGGCAGATCCTGGTCTCCACATAGTTTAAGCTGAAGAAGGTAAATGGGAGACTCATTAGGACTCCAGCCTAAGCCACATCCTCCTACACAGTGTAAGGTGGCCTTCTGACTGTGGAGGGGTAATGATGGAGCTGCACAACAGGTATGGCTCGGAGGCTTCAGAACCCCAAGGGAGGAAAAAAGGACTGAGCGCTCCTGAGCCACCAACGGAGCTACTAGGGCATTTACACAAAAATGCAGGAAGGCTGATAAAGGCAGTAGTGCTGAAACTAGAACCCAGATCTGACCCAAAATGATTCCCAAAATGACCATGGTCCCTAGCATCTCACCTCATTTGCTAAACCACATCATACTGAAGGAAGGCAGAAGTTAGCCCTCTATGAGCAGATGCATCCACAAAGAACACCAACACTCTTTATCTTACACACACACACGCACGCATGACTAAGAACCTTCCTAAAAGTAGAGATGGGTAAACTTTTCACAAATGTTAGGTACCATTCCAGCAGAGAAGAATCTCCAAAAGCTATTTTGTGTGCCTAGAAAAAAAATTAGGATCTCAAACTGTCTCAACTCTAAGAATGTGATAGAAAATAAAGCATCAGTGTGGCAGGAAGGAGGCACATGTTTATCAAAATACCAACTTCTCAAAACAGGGCAAAGGGAGAATTGTTTAACAGTAGTGAGATAACTGGTTAGCAACTTGAGGGGAGTTAAATAATAAGCAAATAACAACTTACAGATTTAAAGGGCATATGCACATACATGCACACACCACACCCAGAGAACAGGGTTTTCAAGTCCATTTTACCCACCTTCAACTTTTGAGGCAACAGGAAAAAACAATTCAAAGCACAAGACTACCAAGCCTGAACAGATAACAAATCTAAAAAATCCCCATGAATAAAAGTAACATTAAAATAAAAAAGGAAACACAAATGTTATCTGCAGCTGAAAAAATTATGACACAGTAAATATCTGCAACCTATAGAGACCCATACTTCAAAAAGACCCCCGTTGTACACAAATGAACAAAGGATATGAACATTATACACAAAGGAAAGAATAACAAAGGGAAGAATAACGTAACAAATGGAAAAATAAGCCTGTGCAACAAGGCCAAACACCATCTCTACAAAAAGTACAAAAATTAGCTGGGTGTGGTGACTGAAGTCCCAGCTACGTGGGAGGCTGAGGCGGGATAATCGCTTGAGCCTGGGAGGTCCAGGCTGTGATGAACAGTGATGACACCACTGCACTCCAGTCTGGGTGACAGAGCAAGACCCGGTCTTTAAAAAATAAAAAAATTTAAAAAAAAGGAAAAATTTTCAATGTCACTAGAAATAAAACTTAAAGACAACCCAGATATACTATTTTACACTTTTTTTTTTTTTAAACAAGTCCTGCTCTGTTGCCCAAGCTGGAGTGCAGTGGCGCACTCAGCTCACTGCAACCTCCGCCTCCCTGGTTCAAGTGATTCTCTAGCCTCAGCCTCTGGAGTAGCTGGGACCACAGGTGCATGCCACCAGGCCTGGCTAATTTTTGTATTTTTTGTACAAACGGGGTTTCATCATGTTGCCCAGGCTGGTTTTGAACTCCTGAGCTCAAAGCAATCCGCCCACCTTGGCCTTCCAAAGTGCTGAGATTACAGGCGTGAGTCACCGTGCCTGGCCTATTTTACACTTTTTTTTTTTTTTTTTTTTTTTTTTTTTTTTTTTTTTTTGAGACAAGAGTTTTGCTCTTGTTGCCCAGGCTGGAGTGCAATGGTGCAATCTTGGCTCACTGCAACCTCCGCCTCCCGGGTTCAAGTGATTATCCTGCCTCAGCCTACTGAGTAGCTGAGATTACAGGCGACCGACACCATGTCCAACTAATTTTTGTATTTTTAGTAGAGACAGGAGTTTCACCATGTTGGCCAGGCTGATCTCGAACTACTGACCTTGGGTGATCTGCCCATCTCAGCCTCCCAAAGTGCTGGGATTATAGGCATAAGCCACCATACCCGGCCTACTTTACACTTTTTAATTTAACAAAATTGCCACCACTATTGTGGCAAACACATTTATTCCTTGTTGGCAGCAGATGAAACGGTTACTACCATTTGGTAGCAATATGGTTACATTTACCACCCAAAAAAAGGTCACACCCTTAATCAATAAACTAATGACTAAGAATTTGCCTCCAGAAAAAGAATACACATTAAGTGAAACATGAACCTCATGGTTTGCAATTATGAGACAATTTGTAAGCATGTGCTTAAAGGCCAAAGTGGAATGTTAAGAGCATGAAAATGGCTGCATGGGGTGGTGGTGGACTTACAAGTGATTTTCCAAAAAGGTTTCCAGCATCACACTTACCATTACCACCTTTGTATTATAAATGAAAATGGGGCCGCTGCTGGTTGGAGGTGCCCCTGCTGGGAAGGAGAATGCTTGCTACAATATATAAGGCTGGCAGTCATCATAAACAGGGCTCCTTGGCTTCAGTGTTGTACTCACCTTTAATATTCCTCCCTCCTGCCCTTTTTTAAATTAAAAAAGTAGCACATTCTCAACTGTAAAATATCTCAACAATTCATAAGTGTGAAAAGTGAACTGGCTGGCTGGGCAAAGTGGCTCACGCCTATAATCCCAGCACTTTGGGAGGCTGAGACAGGTGGATCACCTGAGGTCAGGAGTTTGAGACCAGCCTGACCAACATGGTGAAACCCCATCTCTACTAAAAATACAAAATTAGCCAGGCGTGGTGGCTCACGCCTGTAATACCAGCTACTCGGGAAGCTGAGGCAGGAGAATCACTTGAACCAGAGAGGCGGGGGTTGCAGTGAGCCGAGATCGTGCCATTGCACTCCAGCCTGGGCAACAAGAGCGAAACTCCGTCTCAAAAAAAAAAAAAAAAAAAAGGAAAAGAAAAGTGAACTGACAATGAGAAACCACTAAACAAGGGTTTTCAAATCTTATCACAACCCATAGTAAGAAATACATTTAACAAAAGTCAATCCAGTGCACACGCACACTCACATGCACAACTAAAATGAGTTTTGTGGAGGCCGGGCACAGTGGTTCATGCCTATAATCACAGCACTCTGGGAGGCTGAGGCAGGTGGATCACTTGAGGTCAGGAGTTTGAGACCAGCCTGGTCAACATGGCGAAACCCCGTCTCTACTAAAAATACAAAAAATTAGCCAGGCGTGGTGGCGGGCGCCTGTAATCCCAGCTACTCGGGAGGTTGAGGCAGGAGAATTGCTTGAACCTGGGAAGCAGAGGTTGCAGTGAGCTGAGATTGCGCCAGTGCACTCCAGCCTGAGCCACAGAGCGAGACTCCATCTCAAAAAAATAAAAATCAGTTTTGTGAAATATGTCCCCTTATCACATGCCGTGCATTGTAGATTTGCTTTTTTCTATTCATTTTTCAAAATCATAACTGCACATAATCTAAGAATCAACTACTGTAAAAACCATGTTGAGAAAACAGCAGATCCCAGCCCTTAAGTCAGGTTTTCCCTTTCTAGGTGACACTTCCAACTTCTAGCTGACTCTTGATGTTTACACCCAAATATCTCTTAGAACTGTCTGCATGTAGGCTGAGCGCAGTGGCTCACGCCTGTAATCCCAGCACTTTGCAAGGCCGAGGTGGGAGGATCACGAGGTCAGGAGATCGAGACCATCCTGGCTAACATGGTAAAACCCCATCTCTACTAAAAATACAAACAATTAGCCGGGCATGGTGGCAGGTGCCTGTAGTCCCAGCTACTCGGGAGGCTGAGGCAGGAGAATGGCATGAACCCAGGAGGCAGAGCTTGCAGTGAGCGACAGAGCGAGACTCAGTCTCAAAAAAAAAATTAGCCAGGCGCAGTGGCCCATGCCTGTAATCCCAGTTAATTGGGAGGCAGAGGCAGGAGAATCGCTTGAACCCAGGAGGCGGAGGTTACGGTGAGCCGAGATCGCGCCATTTTGTATTACAATTCCCCAGCTTTTCAGTTTTACGCATTATGCATCTGCTTTCTACCTTGGAAGAGGAGGACTTAACCCTTTACTCCCCATAAATCCCTCTCCCTGCAAGCCACCCCTCATGCTTGTCCTTTCCAATCTCTCCACTAATTAAACTGCAGTGCTGGCTGGAGTAATTTTCATAGTTGACCTTATTATGACCATGTGAGCTATCAGAGTGAGCAACATAACACATGATTTCATTTCTTTTCCCGTACAACTTCTTGTTTTGTTTGCTTAATTTTCTATGAATTTATCAATATTTAACCGAAAATTTGATGTCAGTTGTCTAAATCTACCCTGAGTTTTTTCACATCTGATGTTTTATTTCTATTTCTTCTTCAAAAAGAAATCCTCCTGGGGCCTTCGGAGATCCTTCCATCTGGACCAGTGCACAGAATTCCCTTTACATCTTTTGGGATACACCCTAAAGAAGATCCAGTCTTTGTTCACCTTCACGAGTTTCTTCAATGTGAAAGGCAAGTTTTTCACATCCAGTATGTCTGAAACATTTTTTTTCTACCTTCACTCTTTTTTTTTGAAACAGAGTCTCACTCCTTCACCCTGGCTGGAGAGCCCTGGCGCAACCTCAGCTCACTGCAAACTCTGCCTTCCGGGTTCCAGAGATTCTCCTGCCTCAGCCTCTGGAGTAGCTAGGATACAGGCATGCACCACCACGCCCAGCTAATTTTTATATTCTTTTATTTTATTATTATTATACTTTAAGTTTTAGGGTACATGTGCACAATGTGCAGGTTAGTTACGTATGTATACATGTGCCATGCTGGTGTGCTGCACCCATTAACTCGTCATTTAGCATTAGGTGTATCTCCTAAAGTTATCCCTCCCTCCTCCCCCCACCGCACAACAGTCCCCAGAGTGTGACGTTCCCCTTCCTGTGTCCATGTGTTCTCCTTGTTCAAATCCCACCTATGAGTGAGAATATACGGTGTTTGGTTTTTTGTTCTTGCGACAGTTTACTGAGAATGATGATTTCCAATTTCATCCATGTCCCTACAAAGGACATGAACTCATCATTTTTTATGGCTGCATAGTATTCCATGGTGTATATGTGCCACATTTTCTTAATCCAGTCTATCACTGTTGGACATTTGGGTTGGTTCCGAGTCTTTGCTATTGTGAATAGTGCCGTAATAAACATACGTGTGCATGTGTCTTTATAGCAGCATGATTTATAGACCTTTGGGTATATACCCAGTAATGGGATGGCTGAGTCAAATGGTATTTCTAGTTCTAGATCTCTGAGGAATCGCCACACTGACTGGGATGCCCTCTCTCACCACTCCTGTTCAACATAGTGTTGGAAGTTCTGGCCAGGGCAATTAGGCAGGAGAAGGAAATAAAGGGTATTCAATTAGGAAAAGAGGAAGTCAAATTGTCCCTGTTTGCAGATGACATGATTGTATATCTAGAAAACCCCATTGTCTCAGCCCAAAAGCTCCTTAAGCTGATAAGCAACTTCAGCAAAGTCTCAGGATACAAAATCAATGTACAAAAATCACAAGCATTCTTAGACGCCAATAACAGACAAACAGAGAGCCAAATCATGAGTGAACTCCCATTCACAATTGCTTCAAAGAGAAGAAAATACCTAGGAATCCAACTTACAAGGGATGTGAAGGACCTCTTCAAGGAGAACTACAAACCACTGCTCAATGAAATAAAAGAGGATACAAACAAATGGAAGAACATTCCATGCTCATGGGTAGGAAGAATCAATATCATGAAAATGGCCATACTGCCCAAGGTAATTTATAGATTCAATGCCATCCCCATCAAGCTACCAATGACTTTCTTCACAGAATTGGAAAAAACCACTTTAAAGTCCATATGGAACCAAAAAAGAGCCCGCATCGCCAAGTCAATCCTAAGCCAAAAGAACAAAGCTGGAGGCATCACGCTACCTGACTTCAAACTATACTACAAGGCTACAGTAACCAAAACAGCATGGTACTGGCACCAAAACAGAGATATAGACCAATGGAACAGAACAGAGGCCTCAGAAATAACGCCACATATCTACAACTATCTGATCTTTGACAAACCTGAGAAAAACAAGCAATGGGGAAAGGATTCCCTATTTAATAAATGGTGCTGGGAAAACTGGCTAGCCATATGTAGAAAGCTGAAACTGGATCCCTTCCTTGCACTTTATACAAAAATTAGTTCAAGATGGGTTAAAGACTTAAACGTTAGACCTAAAACCATAAAAACCCTAGAAGAAAACCTAGGCATTACCATTCAGGACATAGGCATGGGCAAGGACTTCATGTCTAAAACACCAAAAGCAATGGCAACAAAAGCCAAAATTGACAAATGGGATCTAATTAAACTAAAGAGCTTCTGCACAGCAAAAGAAACTACCATCAGAGTGAACAGGCAACCTACAAAATGGGAGAAAATTTTCGCAACCTACTCATCTGACAAAGGGCTAATATCCAGAATCTGCAATGAACTCAAACAAATTTACAAGAAAAAAACAAACAACCCCATCAAAAAGTGGGCCAAGGACATGAACAGACACTTCTCAAAAGAAGACATTTATGTAGCCAAAAAACACATGGAAAAATGCTCACCATCACTGGCCATCAGAGAAATGCAAATCAAAACCACAATGAGATACCATCTCACACCAGTTAGAATGGCAATCATTAAAAAGTCAGGAAACAACAGGTGCTGGAGAGGATGTGGAGAAATAGGAACACTTTTACACTGTTGGTGGGACTGTAAACTAGTTCAACCATTGTGGAATTTTTATATTCTTAATGGAGACAGGGTTTTGCCATGTTGGCCAGGCTGGTCTCGACCTCCTGGTCTCAAGTGATCCGCCTGCCTCGGCCTCCCAAAGTGCTGGGATTACAGGATACCTTCACTCTTGAATGAGTTTGGCTGTGTGCAGAGTTCTAAGCTGGGGATCCATTTCATTGAGCATGATGAAGGCATCACTCCCCCACCTCCTATATTCAGATGTATTGAGAAGCCCGAAACCACTCAGATTTCTGATCTCTGTATTTGACCTGTTTCTTTCTCTGTGTAACTTGTAGCATCATCCCCTTCTTCCAAGCATATTGACATCTGAGGGTACTAGTCTGGGTCTGCCTTCAACTACTTGGCTCAATATTCCACAGGCCCCTCCATAGAGAAGCTAATAACCTATTTCAGGCAATATTTTCCTCAATGATTTTGACACTTGCCTTCTTCTCTGTTTTCCCTTTCGGTTAGCTCCTATCAATTGATGTGGGAAGCCTGGCTGATGCTTTAATTTTCTTACCTTTTCTGCCTTATTTATTATTCATCTCCTCATCTGTTTGCTCTATTTTCTGAAAGACTCCCTGAACTTTATTTTCTAATACTACTACTGATATCTTTGCTCTGCTCTTATTTTTGAAAAATTTTCTGATAACTTTGTTTTCTAACTGTTCCTTTTTATTGTATCCTGTTCTTATTTCATGGATACAAGAATTTTTTTCAAAATGTTCTTTTCTCTAAATAGACTTCCTTTCAAATTGCTTTTTTTCATTTGTTTTGCTTTCCTTCATATTAGGCACTTTCTTTAGCCATCTAGTAATCCCTGGCAGTCCGCATGACTAAGAGTGAATGACTCAGGAACCAGCTGGAAGCTCTGAGTCCTTGGGCGGCTAAGTTTCTGTCTAGGATGATCTGGTTGGGCCATTTGCTGGGAAATCCCTGTTGTCAGCATCATTTGTATTTTTTTCCCATCTTAGGCTGGTTAGACTCCACAGTGAGGCCCCTTTTCATCTATAAGGGCCTGGCTGTCAATGTTCTAGAAGCTAAAAGGGGTTAGAAGACTAGAGAATGGAGGTGGTCTCTATATTAACTCCCAAGAATACCTGGAGGCTCCTGGGCCCTTGGTTTTTCCTTCTGCAGAAATGTGCAACATGCAGCTAAAGTCGGAGGCCATCACCCAGCATCACGGTGGAAGGAAAGGAAGGGATGGAAGGATGTAACTGCATTAGCTGCTTTCAAACTATTCTTGTACTCAGCAACCTCTGATGCCCACGTTCCCCTCCCCCCACAAAAAAATCTCATGCCATCCACTCCTACATTTTAAATTGAATCATTCATGTACTCTTTGCTTGCAAAATTTTTCTTGCTGTTGTTTTCTTTCTCATTCTCCCTGTCCTCATGCATTGATTTCTTTTTTACAACTCCCTTTATCTTATGTGGGGGTTTAGGAGAAAGCAAAATTACATGTGTCTACTCAAACCACTATTTTTTACCCAGAAGACCTCTAGGAACATTTCAAAGTATTTTTAATTGCCACCTTTTTATTTAGCAAAGTGAAAAAATCAGGAAGTATAGTCCATTATTACATAAAAGAAAGGGCAAAAGTGACTTGGCACATGTAATTAAGGTTACTAATCAACTGATCTTAACATAGGGGGATCATCTGAGCTATCCAATGTAATTACATGAGCCCTTAAAAGCAGAGCTTCCTCCCAGTTGAGGGCAGAAGAGGAAGGCAGAGAAGCAGCAGCAGGATTTGATGCACTGTTGCTGGATCTGAGTACAGGGGCCACATGCGAGGACCAGTGAGGGACTCTAAGGGCTAAGAGTAGCCCTGGCTGACAGTAAGCAAGGACTCAGTTCTACATGTAGCAAGAAACTGCACTCTGCTGAAAACCTGAATGAGCCTAGAAGTGGATTCTTCCCAGAGCCTCCAGAGAGAAGCACAGCCCTGCCAACAATTTGATTTGGGCTTTGTGAGACCCTAAGGAGGGAATAAGTTGAGCTATGCTGGGCCTGGACCTCTGACCTACAGAAATTGTGAGATTTAATACAGTCAGCCTTCTGCAACCACAGTTCTGTATCCATGGATTCAGCCAACTGGGAATGAAAAATATTTGAAAAATATAAAAAAAAACAAAACAAAACAAAAAATGATACAAGTAAAAAATACAGTAAAACTCCTGTAATCCCAGCACTTTGGGAGGCCGAGGCGGGCAGATCACGAGGTCAGGATATCGAGACCATCTTGGCTAACATGGTAAAACCCCATCTCTACTAAAAATACAAAAAATTAGCCGGGTGTGGTAGCGGGTGCCTGTATTCCCAGCTACTCGGGAGGCTGAGACAGGAGAATGGCGTGAACCCGGGAGGCGGAGCTTGCAGTGAGCAGAGATCTCGCCACTGCATTCCAGCCTGGGTGACAGAGCAAGACTCCGTCTCAAAAAAAAAAAAAAAAAAAAAAAACAGTAAAACAACTATTTTCACAGCATTTACTTTTGTTTTTGAGACAGGGTCTTGCTCTGTCGCCTAGGCTCAAGTGCAATGGCGCAAACTGGGCTCACTGCAGCCTTGACCTCCCAGGCTCAAGCAATCCTGCCTCAGCCTCTCAAGTAGCTGGGACTACAGGAGTGTGTTACCAAGCCCAACTGATTTTTAAATTTTTTTTAAGAGACAGGGTCTCACTATGTTGCCCAGGCTGGACTCGAACTCCTGGGCTCAAGCAATTCGCCTGCCTCAGCCTCCCAACATGCTTGTATTATAAGCGTGAGCCCCCGCACCCAGCCAGCCTTTACATTGTATTAGATATTTTTATGTAATCTGGAGATGGTTCAAAGTTTAGGGAAAAATGTGTGAAGGTTATATGCAAATACTACACCATTTTATATTAGGGACTTGAGCATCTATGGATTTTGGCATAATGGAGGGGGTATGTCCTGGAACCAAACCCCCTTGGACAGTGGAGGGATGACTGTATAAAAAGGATGGGGAGGCCGGGCACCACGGCTCATGCCTGTAATCCCAGCACTCTGGGAGGCCGAGGCAGGTGGATCACAAAGTCAGGAGTCCAAGACTGGCCTGGCCAAGATGGTGAAACCCTGCCTCTACTAAAAATACAAAAATTAGCTGGGTGTGGTGGCAGGCGCCTATAATCCTAGCTACTTGGGAGGCTGAGGCAGAGAACTGCTTGAACCCAGGAGGCGGAAGTTGCAGTGAGCCAAGATCGCGCCACTGCACTCCAGCCTGGGCAACAGAGCGAGACTCTGTCTCAACAACAAAAAAAAGGATGGGGAAAGGGGGCAGAAAAAGAACATCAACTCAGAACAGAGTGGACCTTTAACTTAAAACTTTTTTTCTCTTTTTAGAGACAGGATCTTAAACTCCCAGCTTCACATGGTCCTCCTACCTCAGCCTCCCAAGTAGCTGGGACCACAGGTGTGTACCACCACACGAAGTTAATTTTTTAATTTTTTGTAGAAATAGGGTTTCACTATGTTGCCCAGGCTAATCTCAAACCCCTGGCTCAAGAGATCCTCCCTCTGCAGTCTCCCAAAGTGCTGGGATTATAGGCATAAGCCATCATGCTCAGCCCAAAACTTTTAGATTTACAGAAAAGCTCATTATCTGTCCTATTGCCAGATTAGCTCTATCAAACATCACTGCAACACTGACACTCCCTTAAGAACCAGCTGTTTGTGAGCCTTGGATCCAGATTAAACTCCAGCCAGTGCTTGGCAGCCCCACACCCAAAGAAGTCAGGCCCTTGGCTCCTCCCACAGGGACCTTCAGAGGGGGAGGATGGCCGCCTGCACCCCTCCAACTGGGTGTCCTCTACCTCCAGTTCTTTAGCATCCCCCGATTCTGCCTGGCCCTGTTTGGACGATGCCCATTTCAGGAGCTTGCTGGAAATGTGGAATCTCAATTCCCTTCAATCTGCATTTCACTAAGATCCTGAATAAGATGAAAATTTGGGAAGCTCTGAGACAAGAGTCTCATTTTTTATATACTAATAAGGGGTCATGAGGGAGGAAGAGGGGAGAGAAAACCCAAGGGAAGGAAGCCGGATGACATGACAGTGGAGAAAAGTGAACTGAGATTTGGGAAGGCCAGGCTCAAACCATGTGGCCTGACCCTGCACAAAGGCACTGCGAGCTCCCCAGGCTTCCTGAGAGTGATGTCCCTGGAGTGTTTGCCCCTCCTATGGGATAATCACATGCCTCACAACCCTCCAACACTACTCTGCTGATGGTTCCAGAGATTTGCATCTTTCCACACAAGCACCAGGCACAAATACCAGACAAAGCATGGACCAAGGGGCCCCACCCAGAATCCCTCAGCCTTCACCCACCCAGACACTCAGGAGCTTTCCTAAACTCCTCACGCTCCAATACCTCCCCTCCCCTCACTCCCCTCCCCTCCCGTCCTGAGGGCACAGGTCAGTTCCTCATGACCTCTCAGGGAAGGTCTGAAGGTCTCTTACCTGGCTCTCTACCTTCAACCCCACCCCTCCTCTGGCCCCTCTTTTTCCTAAGGACCCAAGTGACAATGACAACACCCACCACCCATATCCTGAGCTACATACACCCCATGCCCCCAAATTATCCTTACTATCTCTCCTTCCCTCTCATTCTCCGAAGCCAATCCTTCAACACCACCTGGCCTTTGAGGCTCCCAGAACTGGCCTCTGACCTGATCACAGGCCCATCCCAAGGAAGGGCAGCCACATCCCCCAAGGAAGGCGGAGTTTCTGCTGCACCTCTAGTAGCACCTGGGGCCTAGACATTCCTACCATCTGAGAAGGGGGTCTCTAGAGCCCACTAGGTGCTGAGGAACATTCACAGGCCAAAGGAACAGGCAGGCCCAGGGAGAGAAGCCTAGGAGGGGGCAGGCGAATATGAAAGGGAATGGGCCCCAGTAGGAGAGAGAATCACTAAGGCAGGCCAGGGCAGGCTGCTCAGCTGCCCACAGCAATCTCACCCTCTGAGGATGGAAGGAGGGGCTCGGCTCTCTCTGACTCACCCCTTAGAGCCAGAACTGTCCATGCACATCCCTGACCCATTCCCTCATTAACCCAAACGCCAAATCCAGGGGCCACCAGAAACACTGCAAAATCAGACACCGTGGCATGTGAACCTGTGGTTTCCAACAAAAAAGAAAAAAAAAAACTTTAATTTAAAAAAAAAAAAAAAACCCATCATGGTGGCAGCAACCGCTCACTGGAGTGAAGAAGTTTGACTCTTTACTGTGGGAAGTCACTACACAGCTGCACAACGTCAGGGGGGCTGGATCCCCTCCTTTATCACAGGGTGACAAACACTGCCCTGGCACAGTGTGGGGAAGGTGGGCCCCCAGCTTCCAAGGCCATCAAGCCCCTGACCGCCAGCCCTGGATGGCCTCCACATGCAGGTGCAGGAGAGGCTGGGCCCCAGCTCTGAGCTCCACCAGGCTCTCCAAAGGGTCTGAGGGTCTCAGTGCCTGGCATCCTGTAAAAACCCTGATCTTAGTGACTGAAACACTGTGAATTTCCACCACCAAAAACTCACAACCCAAAACCTGCCAAGTTTCAGGACACCGAGGGGCCTCCTCATTAACCTGGTGAGAGGAGGCCTCTGTCTACCTCAGTGCTGTCATCAGGAAAGCAGCAGAGTGGGTGGATTTGAGTCAGGGGAGTCCTCAGTGGGAGAAGCACTGGGCCTGGAATGGAGGTCACCTAGTCCAGTGACTTCCAAGCTTACTATTTTTATTATTTTTTAAGCTACAGGAGGCTTTGTTCAAAGAAACTCTGACCCAGAAACCCAACATGGAAGCAGGCAGAGCAGGACACTTTTATCTTCAGGTGGCTGGGGGAAAGGAAGGCTTCACAAGGTGCACACTAAAAACCATGGGCCTACTGTGACTGACGCCATGCTCCACAGGACAGCAGAACGGCTCAGGAGCTGCCTCCAGAATCATATGGCAACTAGTTCAACAGAACTGTGATAGACTTGGAAATGCATGTTTTGAAGAGCTGTCATTCACAGCAGCTTGAAAAAGCCCCCACTGGCCAAATCTGGAACAATCTGAGCGGCAAAATAAACAATAATAACAACGGATTTTAACTCATTGAATAAAATAAGAATTCATGAGCCCATTCTAATACACACACAGAGATAAATAAACAGGAAAGAAGGAAAAGTTATGTGTAGCACAATGATACATAGCTACAGCAGTTCTGTATAGTTAAATGATAAATGTAGAAGGAATTATGGAATTAAATCATCGCATTCAACACCCATGACAGAAACAACCGACTGTGCCAAGAATCTGCAATGGGTCCTAAAACCAGTCATGAGTTTGATGTGAAATAGCATACTGTATTTGCATAATCTCAAAGTATCTCCCCACAGGACACTTACAAAGAACAAAATAGTAACTTAGAGGGGAGAAACCCAGCAGACATCACCATAAGCAAGCGATCATTGTCAATATCACCGGTAATGACTCAGACCCACATCATGTGCCTCCCAAGGGGATGCACCTAGAACTCACCATTTCCGCAGTATTCCTTACAAAACTGCAAAACTTGCAGCTAACCATGAGGAAACAACAAACAAACTTAAATTAAGGGAGATACTACAAAATAACTGGCTTCAAGTAACTGAAACATAGAGTTTGTGGTCCTTCTTGGAGGAACAAAAAAAAAGCAAACAAAACATTCAGGCCTTGGGCCCCATTGGAGATTTTCACTTTTACGTTTTTGAGACAGGGCCTCACTCTGTGACCCAGGCTGGAGTGCAGTGGCACCGTCACAGCTCACTGCAGCCTTGACCTCCTGGGCTCAAGTGATCCTCCTACCTCAGTGCACACCTGCAGTCCCAGCTACATAGGGAGATGGGGTCTCCCTATGTTGCCCAGGCTGGTCTCAAACTCCTGCTTAAGCCATCCTACTGCCTCGGGCTCCCAAAGTGCTAGGATCACAGGCATGAGCCACCACGCCCAGCACCCATGAGAGATTTTCAGAATGATTCATCAGGCAGCTCATTCAACTGCACCAGCAGCCTCAGGGCAACACCTGCCCACCTAGGTGAGGCAGGGCCTGGTCACCCACACCTGCCACTCACCCCACACCTGCTACCCACCCCACCCCCACTTCTCAAATGGCTAGGCAAAAGGAGGCCTGGCACCTTGACTTCCAAGTTGATGTCCCAACCTACTTCCCTCTGCCATTGAAGGTGAAGCTGCCCACTCAAGGGAGGATGCTAGGCCAAAGCAGGCATAGTGCACGTGTCCTATACCCATACCCTGATCATCATGACAGGCCTGTTTCTGAAAATCTAAGTCTACATGAAATGTCTATACACAGAATCCTTTTATATGCCCCTGGTAAGAGCACATCAGAGCCTCTTCCTCAGCTAGTTGCAAACAAACGTGGAGAGTCTGGGCCCAGTCTACACTAGTATTCCCAATGTGAACAAGAACCCAGGGAGTCCAAGGTGCTGTGCCTCCAGACCTCAGGAGGACTGGGCTGGGCCCTGTGGCCTCCCTAGATCAGCAAGGTTGAAGCAAACCACCCAGCAATCCATCAGTGCACAGGCTCGCCTGCCAAGCCCATGGGGTGAAAAGACTTTTGCTGTGGGAGACAAACACCTAAAGACTTGTTTCTACATGTTCAGGGCACTGCTGCATGTAAGACACCGAGAATGAGGCCGTGGAGACAAACACCAACTCAGAGTGGGACCTGTGCCTGACTCAGGGAACTCAGAACATGACTCCCTTCACTAAGTGCAGTCAAGTAGGTGCTGGAGGGCAGAGAGAAGGAGGTGGTGGTGGTGGCAAGCTGGTCAGGAAATGCTCCCTAAAGCAGCTAGTTTAAATTTGTACTAGATGAGGGCAGCACATCTAGAAGCTCCCCAGTTTGGGATCGAGAGCTGTGCCTAAAGATAGGGAGGGACACACTGCAACCCGACCTGGCAGCAGGCAACTGTTTCACCCCGAGACTGACCCTCCAATGAAGATTATTAACAGAGCCTTCAGTGCATCCCCAGCTCCAGGCTGGGCCCTGCAGATGATACCAAGACAAAACCAGCATGGTCATCCTTGCAGGGCTGACACCATTGGGGTGGGAGCCACTCCTGAACACCATAGATGTTCCAAGTGATGAGTGGCCCATTCTTGGGGAGAAACAAACTTTGCTCCAATAACTGGGTCTTTAAAAGCTGGCTGTTACAGGAGCTGCTCCAGTAGGCTGCAGGGATTTGACCTACATGCCTAATGTAGATTTGAAGTGTTCTCTTTGTACAGGTCACAAAGAAACTACATAAGAGAGTTTAGAATTATATTTACTCCTCATTCTCTATGTTTCCACGCCTGAAAGGCATAAAGATTATGGCTGTAAGATGCTTAAAAATCTTTTTATACAAAATTGCACAGTCAGCTAGAATATACTGTCAGTCTTCCATATATCCACAGGTTCCACATCCTCAGATTCAAGCAACCAGGATCAAAAGTATTCAGGAAAGGCTGGGCGCAGCGGTTCACACCTGTAATCCCAACACTTTGGGAGGCAGGTGGATCACCTGAGGTCAGAAGTTCAAGACCAGCCTGACCAATATGGTGAAACCCAGTCTCTAACAAAAATAGAAAAATTAGCAGGCCTGGTGGCGCACACCTGTAGTCTCAGCTACTCAGGAGGCTGAGACAGGAGAATTGCTTGAATCTGGGAGGCGGAGATTTCAGTGAGCTGAGAACGCACCATTGCTCTCCAGCCTGGGCAACAGAGCAAGACTCTGTCTCAAAAAGAAAAAAAAATTACAAATGCTTTAAATTATATAATACTTACATAGCATTTACATTGTATTAGTTATTATAAGTAATCTAGAGATGATTTAAAGTATATGGGAGGAAGTACATAGGTTATATGCAAACACTACTAAGTGCTGGGGCTAAAACCAATCTCCCTTGGAGACAGGACACCAAGGGACAACTGTACTGTGTTTTAAGACAAAAAAAACCCACCTCAAAGGACGGCAATCTGGAAAACTTCTGAGTCTAGGGTGGGACACTTTCCAGCCCACCCCAGGGCCTGGCTCCCCCAGCCTGGGGGAAAAAGATTTACAGAGCTAAAACAAAACAAACAAAAATCCTTTCCAAAGAAGCCATGAAAAGTGAAGCCCAGTGGGGAAAAATAAAACTAAGTGTGTCCTTGTGAATGTCAAAAGAGAGGAGGAAGAGGCGGCAGAATTTTTTAAACTGCAAATCAATGGTGAGAAACTGCTGGAAAAGGCTGAGAGGAAATCAAGAGTCAGGAGAAAGCAGATCATCCCCTAAAACAGAGCCAGAAATGCAGGGGAGCCCTTGGGTAGCTGAGCAGGAGAGTCAGGGTCTCATTCCCAGGGAAGCAAGCTCTTCCCCACAAAGCCCCAACCTTCGCCAGAATGCAGGGGATGTGCAGGCGTAAAGTGAAATCAGGAGAGCACCTCAAACTGTTTTCTGCTGCAAAACTACTACAAAATACAAATTTACAGTCCCTCTTCTGGACTATTTATTTATCTTCAACATACACCAAAACATCTTTATAGAAAATGCTTTGTGTTTCTTCCAAAAGCAAACAATATTTACAACCTGATTCTGAACCTGTTCTCCAGCTGGAACAGGGCAGGGCAAGTGGCACCAGATGGCCAGGGAGGCTTAGGGCTGCCCTTTCACCCAGGAGGGCTCCAGTTACCCCCCCATCCCTACCCCCACCCCCATGCCCCAAAGATAACCTCACCAGCAGGGCTCTGGGCTAAGGGGGCTTTCTCGAACTAGCTCCATTTCCAAGACATCCCCGGCACCGAGGAATAACTGCTGTGCACTGCACACCCAGAGGGGAAGGACTGAGAGCTGGGGCTGCCAAACCTGTTTAAAGTCGACAACTTTAAACAGGAAAGCAAGTGGGTAAAGACTGCAAAACCATGAAACAGGCTAACAAAGCGAAGGGGCAAGCATGACAGTGTGGCTGGCTGAGGCTGTGCTTCTCAAACATGAAAGTGCATTCAGGCCGGGCATGGTGGCTTGGGCCTGTAATCCCAGCACTTTGGCAGATCGCTTGAACCCAGGAGATAAAGGGTGTAGTGAGCCTTAATTGTACCACTGAGCGCACAGTCAGACCCTATCTCACAAAAAAAAAAAAAAAAAAATTTAAAAAAGCATTCAAATCACTTGGGTTACCTTGTTAACAATGCAAACTCTGATTCAGCTGATCTGGATGGAGACCCCTCAAGATTCTACAGCGCAGCAAGCTCCCAGGTGATGCTCATGCTGCCCATCAGCAGGTCTGTGGATGGCACTTTGAATAGTAAGGATGTAACGCTGACACACAGAAGGAAAACAACCATTAAAGCAAGTCATGGGAAGAAAGCCACCCATCTTTATTGTTCCTGATTTACAAGGATGCAATCAGCTTCCCTGGAGGAATGCTTTAATTTTGGGATTTGTTTGGGATTTTGTTGCATCCCAATGGATCCTCACAGATTATTTTTATTCCCATTTCTCAGCTGTAAAAGCTACTCTAACCAAATGATAGAGACCTGCCTCTTCCAAGACCACCGCCCTCCTGTGTTCGTGCCGGCAGAAACACAGCCTAGAGCAGTGACACAGGCTGGCCCCGAAGACAATGGGAGGAAGTCAGACGGGCAACAGGCACAGGGGGGCCTGGTAGGCAGTGCTGGTTTGGGTGGGCGGGCCCAGAGGATGGAGGCTGGGCCAGGAAAGGCACATAAAGGGCAGAAACCCAGCCTGAAAGGTCACCAGGAAAAGAACATTTTGTCTCCTAGAACCTGTTGACAAAATAGAGGCAAAATTTAAACACAGTCTCCACCCCCAAAGAAGAGGAATGGGGATATTGTTTTCATTTTTACTTTTAACAAGTTTGTTTTTACATTTAAGAGCTTGGCCTCACTTTGGCAAGAGGTAAAATTAAAAGCTTTACTTCCCTCTCCCTGGATTCCACTTCACAACAGAGGGGCTACACTAATAAACAAAAGTAATGTGCCATTTCCAAGAAAAGCCAAGGCGAGGTCCAAGGTAAGACTACTCATCAGTGAACTCCAGGGGCCACACTCAGCGCCTGAACACTGGGAGTGTGTGTTTGGGCTCAGGGTGGCTCGGTTTCCACTTGAAAACTACAGGCATCTTTTGAGGTGATCATCACCACCCCTCAAGAACCTGAGGAAGAAATGCCCAGGAAAAGAGGGGCTCTTTGTTAATTCCATCTGATGACATTTTCTTCCAAAGGATCCTGAGTTGGCAAGAGAGATTCCAGGTAGTGGAGTTAGATTAATAGAACCATTTTGGAGTTAGATTAATAGAACTCCAAGGGTTACAGCTAAAATGTTCCCAAAGTTCCTCTGAGCAACACTTCCATTTTCTAGTAAGAATCTACACCCCAGGAAGTGACCCACCAAGGTCACCCAGTAAGCCCGAATTCAAATCCCAGCCTCTACATCCATTGTGTTTTTCCCAGAAAGAATACTGAGCTGCCTCGATGGTGACTTTCCCAGTCTTGTTTGGGTCCAACAACCTGTAAACTAAAAATAAAATTCTAAGCCCCATAACCAACTAAACAGACCCTCTTGGCCACGAGGACCCCAGAGAAACCTGAAAAACAGCTCTTGGCCACAACAAGGAGGAGGTTGGAAAGGCCTCATTACATACCTCCTCCCTTTTGGGATTTAGACACAAAAACTGACCATCATTAATATTAAAATAGAGATTATAAGACTAAGAAACAAGACTCTTTGTGACAATAAGATACCGAAATATAAAGAGGACTGAAGGCCATGCCAGACAAGGGTTAAGTCACTCACCCCACAGCTCTAACCCAGTGTATTGGTTAACGGACTTCCTTATCTTACCAGTCCTTTCTGCTGACTCTAAATTTTTGGACAAAGCTTTACTCCTTTAACGAATTACAAATTAAAGAATCTCCGAACCCACCTATGACCTGTAAGCCCGTTTCATGATATCCCACCCTTCTGGGCTTAAACAATGCATATCTTCCATGTACTGACTTATGCCTTTGCCTGTAACTTTTGCCTCCTTAAAATGTATAAAACAAAACCGTAATCCAACGGCCTCAAGCACCCTTTCCCCACACCTCTTGAGACCGTGCTTTTCCCAGGACGCAGACACTCACTGGATTGGAATAAACCTCTTTAAAATATTTTAGAGACTTTGGTTTTTCTGTTAACATACCCCACCCCCCACCAAAGTGGGGGTGTTTCAATGCCTTTCACGATGAGCACCAGCTCTTTTTACTTTGAGTCTTGTAGGTGCTACAACATTTGTTAAAATGAGGGCTGGGTGCTGTGGCTCACACCTGTAATCCTAGCACTTTGGGAGTCCGAGGCAGACGGACAGCTTGAACCCAGAAGATGAGTTCGAGACCAGCCAAGGCAACATTGCAAGAGTTCGTCTCTATGAAAAATTTTTAAAAATTAGTCGCGCATGGTGATGCGTGCCTGTGGTTTCAGCTACTGGGAAAGCTGAGGCAGGAGGATCACTTGAGCCTGGGAGGTGGGGGCTACACTAAACCATATTCATGCCACTACACTCCAGCCTGGGCAACAGAGCAAGATTCCATGTCAAAAAATAAAATAAAATGAGGACACTCCAAGGTGCAACCCTATCTGGGGCTGAGGCTTGCTTCTTGATTTGTAAGACTTGGCTGATAAGAGAATCAAATAAGACAGCCAGGATGGGTTTTGAAAGGGTAAGCTATAATGCTAAACACATGAAAACTAGTGGGAGTTATGAGTTCTATACAAAACAACTCTATTTCAAAGGCAGGTGCCTTACAGATTCTGTCTGTGGTTTAGAAAGGAGACAGTATGGGTTGGGGCGGGCACACCTCAGATAGAGAAGTCAGACAGCGGGTGAGAGTGGCCTTCACCCCGCCTGCAACCCCACACATAGCTGAAATTGTACCCCAAAAGAGAATGCTCATTTTGCCCACCAAAAAGTGGTGGGGGAGAGAAGGGAGAGATTCAGATGTGAAGAAGCAGGGTACAGTTCCCCTCAGTTAGAGAAAGGTCCTCACAACCATAAGGACCAAAATAAAAAATATTCTTAACCAATCCTGCCTCTGTTTTCAACAAAGACCAGGAGATTAAGAACGAGCATCCTTTGTGCCTGAGAGTGGCTTTTTCTGCCAAAGACCCGGAGGCTAACTCTCTCTCTCTTTAGTGTGCACCTCAGTGGCCCAAAACAGGTGAGACCTCTCTCTGTTCCCACTGTAGGTGTCACTATCTTTCTGATCCAGTAAGAGGGGATACTCTGTGCTTCTCTCAGCATGGCTGGGAGATAGGGGTACAGCCAGAGGAATTAGGGGTGCAGCCAGGGGGCTGCCATGCCTTTGGCTCAGTGGGCAGATTCATGTCACAAGGGTTTCCACCCCACCAGCGCTGTGTGCTGGCTGCCTGCTGCCCACTGCCAGCCTGAGATTCAAGAGCCCGGAGATGGCAGAACAAAGGAAAATGGCTGTGGCTCCTGCAGCGGGGGTGGCTGCAGGCTGAGCTGCCAGCACACAGGCTTTTCAGCAGCTGAGTGCTCGCGTGAGGAACGGGAGCACTGGGCTGAGCACTGAGGCACAAAGCAAGTGGGGGGCCTGGGAGACTAATAGCAACCCAGGCACGTGCCTGGCCCCCACCCAAGGGCACAGCTGGGCCGGGAAGACTCGGCAGAACTCACTCCCCAAAGCAGTGGGCAGGTGGCCGACAAGCCTGGCACCGGCCACTCCTGCTCCTTGCCCAGCTGCTCAGAACTCTTACCCAGAGGTGTTCCAGGCAAGCACAGGGACTTGAGAAGGGCGAAGGGGGATCTTGACAGAGGCAGAAACTAGAATCTGAGAACACATGATGGGCCTTGGAGTGGCTCAAGGCTGTCTGCAAATGGACCTCTATTAAGCATAAAGGGCTCCTGCTACCAGCAACAATAGTTGCACTGACCACTCCCTCTCCCACTCTCCTCCTTCTCTAGTTCCCTCCCACCCTTCCCCCAAAAAAATCTACAATGGGAAGCAGCAGGAAACCAGGGCAGAGCCCCTGAATAGCTCCACTGTGAGGCCCCAGGTCCCGCCTCCTCAGCTCCACAGGTCAGCCCTCACTGCCACCAGGCCACAATAGAAACCTCTGTGCTACCAAGGACCCAGGCCCAGACAATGAGCTGCACATGGGAAGCTCTGGCCTTCTCACGGGGACTGCATGTAACCGCAATGGTGAGAAGTTCTCTGAGTAGAAGGGTGGGAGAGCCATGGCAGGGACACAAGCCTCAAACCCACCAGGTCAGGGTCTATTTAGGAGGTCTATCTGCCAGCCAGCCCTAAAGTCTCCCTGCTTCCCACCCTGCCCTGGCATGGGGCAGTGAAAGCCACACAGGGAAACAACCAGAGAGCTCCCAACACAGAGTGGGCACCTCCAACATGCTCTCACGACTGTCCCTCCTTCCCCACCCATCCCAGGAAGAACCGTACCCCATTTCTGTTCTGAAAGGAAGCTCCCGCTCAAAACACAAAACCCATCTATTATTTTCACCAGGTGCCTTTTACACAGGCTTTTAAAATCACAGGGTGGCAACCAGGCCCAAGGCGGCCTGAACAGGGAGGTGTGCAGAGCAGCGAAAGGCCAAGGGAGGCCAGAGAAGGAGGCCGATCCTCACACCAACCCCTGACACTGCGGGAAAATCTGCTCCTCTAAAAGCTGACGCCAGCTCCAGCTTGCTGCAACCAACGCTCCCCCTTCACACCCCACATAGGTCCTGCAAAGTCGTGAGGTTGCTGGAACCCACTATGAGAAGCCTGCTCCCCGCCTCCCTACACCCCAACTCGCTCTGGCTGACTCCTCACACTTTTAGGGGCACAGGCTGCATGAGCCAGAGGGCCAGCCAAGGGCTGTAAATATGGAGGTCACGGAGACAGGCTGGCCTGAACTGAACCAAAGATGGACTTGGGTGGGAACCAACACGCTGGCACCTCTCATGCCTTCCCAGTAGTTTCTCCAGCTCTTGTCTCTGTAGAAGGCCAAGATCCCTCCAAAAGAAAACTTTGTAAACTTTCATTCCCCCTTTCGGAATCAAAGCCGCATGTTTCTTTTCCTTTTACACACCTAATGCAGTAACTCCACATCTAGTCATTTCCACTACAGACCTGCAGCATGCATAAGACACTCCTGCAGCTTAGCCTATAGAAACAAAACACTGAAAGCAACCTCAAAATCCATCAATAGAGAGCTGGTAAAGTGAGTCATCATTCACTGTGCAGCAGAATCATGCACTGCTGTTAAAAAGAATGGACTAAACTATGTGTGCTAAAATGGAACAATCCTGGGATAAATTCTCAGAGTAAAAATCAGGAAGTGCAAAACAGCATAATTAGTATACCACTGGGGTAATAAACAAGAGAGGAATACAGTCATGCTTGACTAGGCACTGAACATCTGGTGACAGCGGCCTCAGGGGAGCAGAACTGAAGGGGTCAGGGATAGAAATAGGAGTTTTCACCGTGTATCTTTGTTATGTGTTTTTCATCATGTATACATTTTTGTAAATAAAAATGTTAAACCTAAATTAATATTTAAAATGCCTAAAGTTTGTGGCTGGACACACAATTTTACCCGTAGCTGTCTGCAGGCAGCTTCTGGTGTTTCCCTAGAACAAGGCAGAGTAATGGGGAGGGGAAACGAAACAAGGGGAAGGAGGGGGTCAGGCAGTGGCAGCCTCAGGGATACAGACTCACCAACTCACAGGGCTCCCTGCTTTCGACTCCACCCCAAGTCCTGAAATAGAAAGTTTTCCTAAGAAGAGCAAGAACAGATTCTGACAAAGGCACAAAAGAAACCAGACCATCTGCTGCCAAGCCCACTTCATGATAAATCTGTAAGACCCTAAGATTCAGGCAATGTAGGCGATGCAGGAGACGGGACTGAAACCCAGGCATCCCGGGCATCCACAGGGACCCTTCTCTGAGCCCTCCCCACTCAGTCATCAGTGGAGCTCGAGGTCCTAGTGCTATGAACACATCCCAGTTTCAGCAACTAAAGAAAGCTATTTCAACAGATTTCTAGGCCTGGCCCAATTCCAAGGACAGGCTAAAAACAGTTTCTCCAAAATCCCAGCTCAAAACCCCATTCCCTAACCACTAAACTCCATGTACCTTCCAGGAAATGGAAGCTGCAAAATGGAGCTGTGAGATGCACTTGTAGATTTATTCCTCACTAAAGAGATACATATATGTTGTTTAAAAGCTTCCTTTAACTGACGTGTCAATAAATACTCTGCACTCAGAAGCACTGATATACTTCCTCCAAGTGATTTTTCCCCCTAAGGAACAATACAAAAACCATTCCAGCCTTTCCTGCTGCTGAGGGGAATGACACAATGACCATTAGAACCAGGACTGGCCAGACCATTTGAGTGAGAGATGTGTATGGCAGGGAGTGCTGCATAAACAGAACTCTATCTATGTAGAATAACTCCTCCACCCCACCCCACCCCATCCCATCCCATCCCACCCCATTCCTACGCCCTAGGCCACCAGGGCGGACAGAAATAAACACCTCCTAATGACCTCAAGCTCAAAGACCGCCCAGACCACAGGGAAAGAAGGCCAGAGAGGGGGAATGGGTATATTTGGTTCCCCTTACAGAATAAGATGCTTTCTGAAGACTGCTAAATATGTTCAATAAGTAGCCCCTGAATTAAGAAGCACAAATCAAGTGCCCAGGAGTTTGACACCAGCCTAGGCAACATAGCAAGATCCAATCTCTACAAAAAATTCTTTAAATTAGCTGGGTGTGGTGCTGCATGCCTGTGGTCCCTGCTACTCAGGAGGCTGAGGCGGGAGGATCACTTGAGCCAGGAAGGTGGAGGCCTCAGTGAGCTGTGATAGGGCCACTGCACTCCAGCCTGGGCAACAGAGTGAGACCCTGTCTGAAGGAAAAAAAAAAAAGGCACAAATGAGATCTCACAACAGTGAGAACCATACTGGCACCTGAAGCCCTCGTATCTCTTTCTGCTCCTCTCGGTGGCTCAGTGCAAGCCCTCAGCAGGTCTTGCCTGTAATCCCACAATCCTCTGTGAAACCAAGACCAGCCCCTCTCCAACCGTCTTTCTGCAGGAGTGAGCAGAGCCCAACCCAGGCACTAATCTTCAACACACCAAATCCTGGCACCTGCCTTTGCCACCTCATCAGTCATGCCATGGAGGGGAGCGTCAGGGCTACCCTACACCAGAGGAGCCCTCAACTAAACCTGCCCGCCCCACCCCATCCTGGGCACATGCCACTTGTTCCTCTTTGCTCACACACTTAGCACCCCAGAGCCCTTGGGAATGAATCCCCCACCACTACCACCAACTCTGATTTTGGCATGCCCCCCTCAAAAACCTATCCACGTTTATACCATCACTTGTATTTCACAAGAAGCTACTAGAGTTACAAAACACAATGACTGTGGTAGGCAGGATGGCTGCAGAGAGCAGGGTTCTGGCACCACCACTGTTCCACTGCAAGGGTGGAAGCTGGCTACAGAGCCTTTAGGAAGGAGGGAAGGCCCCATCCACAGCCGACAGGTTTTCCTTACAACAGCAAGGGCCTGGTTCCTGAAAAGCTGACTGTTGAGACAAGATCAGCCTCAAGAAAAGGAGGCAGGCCAAACAGGGTCACCTGTGCAGGGTAGGCTGGAGGGAGCCGGCCCTCAAGAGAGGCAGAGTCTGATCAAGTAGACAGGAGGGCCAGAGAGAAAAGGAGGAGCCTCACTCATGGAGGAGGAACAAGGTAGGCTGGAGGCAGGGACTTGTAGGCCTCAGACAGAAGGAAGCTGGTGAAGCTCCCATAGGCAAAATGCCCAGGAGCTCCGGCTAGAAGGCAGCAGGAGTGTGCAGTCCAGGCAAGAGGAAGAGATCCCCCACAGCACCTCCCTCTGCCCAGCTCAGACAAATGGGACAGTCAATCCCCAGGCTGATGGAGGCGGGAGCGAGAACCACAAAGTTGTCAGACTGGTTTGCCCAGGACAGGGAGAGCAGGGAACACAAATTGCAGCAGGAGCTCAGCTTCAGGGGGCAGAAAAAAGCAGCAAAATTGGTGGGCTGTAGGGAAACAAGGACCCAGGTCCATGCGATTTCCTGGGTGCAGAGGGGAAATCCAGCAGGCCAAGAGCAAGGGAGCCAAGGGACAAGGGGCCAGCAGATGCTGAAAAGGACCAAGGTTTCTGGAAAAAAAGAGAGTGACACTTACAAGAAGGGACACCTACAAGGAGAGAAACCTGTCCCCTACTCTTACACTGGCCCAAGCTCAGGACCACTCACACCTGTCTCCTGAGGGACAGGCCAGTGCAAGAAGAATGGACAGGACACTGCCAACCACGGGATACTGACAGAGATTCTGTCCCTCACCAAACTTTATTCCTCTGAGCCCTCTACTCATCTGGTCCTGACCTAGGGTTCCTAACTCCATTCTCTCTAAGAGCCTAGTTTTAGCAAAACTCCTGTTAACCAGAATCCCCCAACCTCAATATCTAATCACCCTGGATATCTGAACGTATTTCTCATCCTGTACTATCTCCCAGGTAAAACCTGATCACCCTGGCCTGCCTGCAGCAAGAATTCAGTTAGCTAAGTTTAGTAAAAATTTCCCTACCCTCTTAGAAATTTTCAGGAGCCCCCACACTCCGCTCCTTGGCTATAAGTTCCCACTTTTCTTTGTTGTATTTGGAGTTGGCCCACTCTCTCCCCTCTACTGCAAAATCCATTGCGATAATTCCTACATCTATCGTAATAGTCCTGATACAGTCTACCTTACCAGTTTAACAAGTGTCAGAATTAAGTTTTTCTTTCACCAGCTCCCTAAGTCTTCCTGGACCCACTGCTCCCACCCCTCACTCAGGGTGTGTAAATTACTTGGTCTGGGGCTGTGGCTGACCTCCCCTAACAAGCCCCAGAAAAAGACCCTGTCTGCCTGGCCCAGGGACACAGGAGAGGACCCTCAGCACAGCTGGTGGGCACCCAGACTGGGGACAGACACACTCCTACTGCTGAGAGTCCCATAGCATCCCCAGGATCACCACTCAGACCTCGGGGTACAAACAAGAGATTCGGGAGAGGCCCATTTCCTTCCACTGCTGTGGGGCCTCTCTCCTGGATGTTAGGGCTCCGAACTCCTCTCAAGGCCGTGCAGTGTACAGGAGCACAGGCCCAACAGCTGGGACTGTCAACGCATAGTCAGGCAGGAAAAACCCAGAGAAGGTTCACTAGCCCCTTGTTCCAGTCCCTCCCCAAACCTTACCCATGCAGGACAGCCCAACTCCAGCTCTCCCAAATGCCAGGAAACACAAAGACTCTGAGGCAGCACCAGGAGCTCACCTCTTACCAGAATCCCAGAAGCCACTTTAGAGACAACTGCCCCAGCTCTCAGGCTCCCAGCTCAGGCCAGCACAGCCTAAGGAGGGAGGAGCCAGTTCCTCCAGCTATCTAGCTGAAAGGCACAGGCTCTAGGCCTTCTCCCTGGCTGCTCAGTTGGGAGGCAGTACAGACCGCAAGGGGTGAAGAGTTTCAACCCCAGCCTGCCCAGGCCCACTTAAGCTCTGGTCTCCAGGCCTGGCCTGCTGCCTCCTAAAAGAAAACCACAGCCCCACCCAACCCTACCCAACCCCACCAAGCCCAAGGGCGGAGGAAGTGAGGTTCCCAGAATCAGCTGCTGGTGAACACTTGCTGAGTGCCGCCAGAGATGGCAGCTGTCTCACACCAGTGTCAGGCCTAACTCAGGGGCTTTGGATCTTGCTTCTCAGGGTACTAATGCTTCACTGCAACCCCGTGAGACAGAAAAGGCAGACTTGATTCTTCTCACTTTACAGATGAGAAAAGTAGACAACTTTTTTTTTCCAGGAAGAAAAAAAAAAAAAATCAAAGACTTGTGTAGGTCACTCAACTAGAAAGTAGGTGCAACTTGAAAGCTTGCCTCACCACCGTCCACTCTGCAAGCTGGACAGTGTTATTCATCTTCACATCTTCACGTTTAATTGAGAGCGGCACTGGACACTGCCCCCCTGCCAGGGCCTGCGCTCCACCAAAATGGCTACTTGCCCTGTCTAAATCAAAAGCATACGCAATTAAGGGAGAAAATGGATGTGGAGATATTATGAATAACCTCCCTGATTCACAGTTACAGAGGACACTACTATAATGGAAGATAAGCAAACTGAAACGCTGGCATTCACCTAGACCAAAGACTCTCAAAACTTCATTCTACGCAGCTCCCTGGGTACTCTGATAGCCTGCCAAGAGTGAGACCACTGCTGGAGACCACCACCACCTCTCAATCCACTGGCAGAAAAACGGAGGCCCTGGAAAAGGTGGAAATATGCCTAAGCAGAGTGAGTTAACCATGAAGCAGAAGAACCTGAGGCCTCACCACCTCCAACAGTGTCTGCTGGCCCCGAGGGAAATCACCAGAGACCAAGCAGGTGACCAGGCACAAAATCAAGAGCCACAGTGTGGCTGACTCTTCAAAATCCTACTAACGTGGCCTGAGGGGGAAAATTTAACTAACAGGGTTCCTACTCCCTTCTACAGACCAGGGATCTAGCCCCACACTCAATCCCATCCCCAGTGGGAGTCCACCTTCAGTCACCTCGCTACCACTGCTTTCTACACCCCTATGCCTGCAAGCTCAATCCCCGAGTCCCACAAAAGTGGGGAGGACCAGGCCTGCCTGGGTATCGCTACCTGCTCCTGCTTCTAGGAAAGGTGGCTGCCCCTACAGGCCACATCCAGGTAGCGGATGGAACATGCAAGATATCCAAGGACTGACACGGCAGGGCAGAGACAGGCAGCAGGAACCTAATCCCCTTCCCATAGGCATCTTAAAGGCCACCAGGACTCAGTGGCAGGACACAGGGATCATCATGTTCTCTGTCCCTCTGTCCAAGCCACCAGGGGTGTTCCCACTAATCACTATGGGTCCCCCCAGTGAGGACAACATAAAGCAGATAAGTGATGAACATGCAGTGTGAACAAGAAATAAACCTCTGTTGCTTTAAGCCTCTGAGACCTGGGGATTGCTGTTACCACAGCAAACCGTGATCTGTCCAGACAGACACAAGCAGTGACTCCCCAATCTTCTGCATGTGGTAGTGCTGGTCTTCCCATTCCCTGGCCTTAGGGAGACAGAAGCTCCATCACCAATCAGCGGGGGTTCCGGGGTACCTGCTATGTGCCCAGGCTGTGCTGGACAGATGAGATGTGTTCAGAGGCAGGGATACAAGGGCACCTTCACTGAAAACATTCATTAGTTCCACTGTGGGCCAGGCTTGTTTGGTATATGAATCCATTTTAATCACCTCTGAGAGGAACATATTGTCTAAATTAGAAATGAGAAAACCTGGTCCGGCACAGTGGCTCACGCCTGTAATCCCAGCACTTTGGGAGGCCGAGGCGGGCGGATCACTTGAGGTCAGGAGTTCAAGACCAGCCTGGCCAACATGGTGAAACCCCATCTCTACTAAAAATACAAAAATTAGCTGGGTGTGGTGGTGCACACCTGTAGTCCAAGCTACTTGGGAGGCTGAGGCAGGAGAAGAATCACTTGAACCCAGGAGGCGGAGGTTGCAGTGAGCCGAGATCACGCCACTGCACTCCAGCCTGGGCAATAGAGTGAGACTCAGTATCAAAAAAAAAGAAATGAGAAAACCCAGCTCATATTGAGACTTCAAGCAAGTTACTCTGTGACCTCTCGGGACCACAGTTTCCTCATCTGTAAAATGGAGCTGTTGACATCACGGTTGTTTTGCTTTTTGTTTTTTGTTTTTTGAGATGGAGTTTCATTCTTGTTGCCCAGGCTGGAGTGCAACGGCGCGATCTCAGCTCACTGCAACCTCCACCTCCCAGATTGAAGCAATTCTCCTGCCTCAGCCTCCCAAGTAGCTGGGATTATAGGCATGTGCCACCACGCCCAGCTAATTTTGTATTTTTCGTAGAGACAGGGTTTCACCGTGTTGGTCAGGCTGGTCTTGAACTCCTGACCTCAGGTGATCCACCCACCTCGGCCTCCCAAAGTGCTGGGATTACAGGCATGAGCCATCACGCCCAGCCATCACAGCTGTTTTCAAGGATTAAATGAGTTATTACAAGTCAAACTTCTAGGGTGTAAGTCTCAATAAACTCACATTAGTATCACTATGAAATAATCTTGTCCTTCACTAAATTTTAAGCCAGCAAAGGTTTCCCAGGCCTGGCACAATGCCACTTTGCAGGCACTGCTAAAAGGAATTCTACCTCAGTTGAAGTTAAATGGGTCAAATTCCTGAGCACATGGTGGCATAGAGTGAGGCCTCAGGAAATAGTTCCAGAACCCAGGGCTTTCCTGCTCCCCGGCCTCCATGGGAACTTCACTTCACTGCCGCCACAACCTTCAGGGCAGAGCCATCTCCTCTCCCACTTCATACTGCCACTTCCTACATGAGAAGGACCTTCACCAGTCCTCAGAGACTAGCACAGCTGCCCAGCTGGTGAAGGGGACAATTCCCTGGGCAGCCAACCATTCTGCAGCTCCATGCCCTTTCTTCCTGGGGCAGCCACAAACCTTCAGAAGCACCCATGGGCTCAGACCCCCCCCACAACCCCGTCTCCCTAAATGATCCTGCTACGCTGAGATCAAGCTCAGATCAATAAACACTACTGAGCACCTATGCCATGTCCAGCCTGGGTTCTAAGACCACACCAAGTTCATAGCTGGTGAGGGACTTTCCAGACTTGGAATAGTGCCTGCAACAATGCCTCGCACCCCACAGAAATCTCAACCATGCTTTGTTAACTAAACTGAGGATGACATTAGGTGGCCCAAGCAGTGGAGTTCAGAGATGTGGGGATGGATATATCCAGAGTCTCCAACTGAAGTTGGGGTGCAACACAATGAGAAGGAAAGGGAAAATACATCTGGTGGCCCTGGGTTTCCAGGGCCTGTCACTATAACGTTAGGGATCGGAGTGGGATCAGACTGCGCGTGGTGGCTCACACCTGTAATCCCTGTGCTTTGGGAGGCTGAGGTGGGAGGATCACTTGAGCCCAGCAATTTGAGGCTATGATCACACCAGCAGCTAAGGGGATAGAAGGGCATACAGGGCCATTATGGTGGAGTCTGGGCTTCATTCTGGGGGTGCCAGGGCCCAGGAAGATCCCTGGAAAGACGGCCGCCCCCACCAACCACTCGGCTAGCTGAAATGTGGCAAGGACATAGGGGTGCTCCGATGGCCTGTCCCCAGGTTTCCCTTCACAAATAGAGAAGGGTGGCCGGAGCACTCAGCAGGCACTAACTGCTTCTGGACTTCAAGGTCAAGGGGCAAGGGGAAGGCTACTTTTGAGGATTTGGCAGGCCACTCTCTCACTAGCCCAAGAGCAACTCCCTCTCGGAAGGGAGGAAGATCCCCTGGAGAGCAGACCACTGCCAAGAGCACACCTGCAGAGGCTCCAATACAATGCTCTGCACAGCCGCCCAGCACCGCCTGACCTCCCGGATAGCAGCGCCAGCACAGCCAACGAGTGTGTGACACCGCCGCACTCACCACCGCTCTGCGCCCAGCCCCAGGCCAGTACCCGGGCCCACGACTTCCCCCGACTCCCCCTAGCACGGACTGTTTCTCGCCGGAGATCAACTTTAAGTCCCCAAGACAAGTGCTCCTGCGGTCCCAGGGCCAAAGTCCCTCCACACACCCTCACACAGGCACTTCCTACCCACCCGCACCCCACCCCTGGGGGTGGAGGAGAAGCAGCAGCGGCCCGGGACAAGCACAGTCCGCAGCCACAAACCTCACTCTACCAGAACTCCGGCTAGGTCAGGGGTCAGGCTTTGCTCCCAAACACAACCCCACACGACTAACGCGGAGAAGCTGGGTCACCGCCTACTCAAACTCCGGCCGTCCCAAACCCAAGCCGGGCAGAGTGGGACCCACGGCGGCGTGGGAGACTGAGCACAACCACGGCGGGGCAGGAGGAAGGGGCGGCCCGCCCCGGCCTACGCCCACCCCCACCCCGGACCCGATCTCCTGGGAGCCGAGGGTGGGTGACTGAGCCGAAAGGGTGGCCCATCCCCGAGCTCGCTGCTGGGGACGAGAAGCAGAGCCCCGAGCAGCAGCGGCCGTCCAGGCTCCCGTCGCCCTCACCCCGCCCGGCACGGGCGCGCACTCGCCGGGGCGCGCTGATGGGGCGAGGGCTACCGAACCAGGAGTGCCGGCCCCGGGCCCGCCGCGGCTCTCGTCCGCGCGGCGCCGGAGTTCGGCTCAGCGGGGTCCCGGCGGAGGCCTCCAACCTCTAGCGAGCAATCCTGGCAGACAAAGCCAGCGCCGCCCGCGGGGCCGCTCCTGGGCAGGCGGGGAGGGAGGCTGAGGGGCCAAACAGGGACCTAAGGAGCAGCCCTCGCCCCCGGAGAACGCTCGGGGAAGTCGGCCTCAGACAAAGAAAGGGGCAGGGCCCGACGCCCCAGCCAGGTCTCCGCGCTCTACTCACCCGCGCGCGGCGGCGGCAGCGGCGGCGCGGCCCGGCTCGGCCGAGGAAGTTAGAGCAAGTTCCGCGGCGCGGGGCGGGAGGGCGCGACTCGGGCCGTCCGAGCGGCGGGGGCGGGGCGCGGAGGGGCGCGGAGGGGCGGGGCCGGAGGCGCGGCGCCTGCCGTCTGCCGAGGAAGGGGCGCCGCTTCCCTGCGCCGCCCGGTGCGGCCCCGGGCGCCTGGGCCCGCCCTGGCCCCGCCCCTCCCCCAGCCGCCTCGCCCCTCCCCCACCGCACCCCGCCTCCCGGCCCGCGCGGCACCGGGGACCGCGAGGCCGGGTCGCCGGCCCGCCCCTTTGTCCCGCTCTGGGCGGTGCCGGAGGCTTGGGGCGGCCCCGGTCCGCGCCCTCCCAGTGGGTGCGCGGCGCAGGCCGGGCCTGGCCCGGGGCCGGGCACTTGTAGCCGCCGGGAGCGCTCTGAGCCGTTGCGCTGCGCAGACGCCGCTCTGGCCTTGTCGGAGCCGAACCTGGGAGAAGCACGAGCTGTGGGAGGCGGCGTCTCGAGGGATACACGGGATGACCGTGGAGAGCGGGCGAAGGATTAGGAAAATGGCTGTGGTGGAGATAAGAGGCGTTCCTGCCCGGCTTTGGAGCCTGGGGGCGGGGGTAGTCTTCAATCAAAAGAAGGATGGGGAAAAGGTTTTTATTTCTTTGTAAACCAAGGAGTAAGGACACGCTCCTTCTGGCCTTGGTGCTAAAAATACCAAGCTTTCTTTGGATCGTGGCTGAGATTTCTTCCTAACCTTTACGCTAAAGAGGTGGCTGGGACGATTCTTGTGGTGTAGGGGGGTTTCCAGGGACAGCCAGGGGTGGCGCCCCTCTTTGGATCGTGGCTGAGATTTGTTCCTCACCTTTACGCTAAAGAGATGGCTGGGACGATTCCTGTGGGGTAGAGGGGTTTCCAGGGATAGCCAGGGGCGGCTCCCCAGCCTCAGCCTCCCTACCTGTAGAATGAAGCATGCCACACCTCTGTTTCTTAAACTTATTCGGTGGCTGAGGGCCGAGTGGTCTTCTCTGTTGAGTAACACCAAACAGGGATCTATTAAAACTGGGCTAAGACTGGTTGCCACATGCCAGTACAAGCAACCAACAGGTTAATTCCAATGGAAGGAGGAAATCTTGAAATGGAGACTGTTCAGTCCATTCCCAGGTTTGTTTGGGTTGTTTTTTGAGCTAAGGTATCGCTTTGTCACCCAGGCTGGAGTGCAGTGGCATGACCATGGCTCACTGCAGCCTCGACCTCCCGCCTCAGCTTCCCCAAGTAGCTGGGACCACAGGTGCAGGCCACCACACCTAGCTAATTTTTTTTTTTTTTTTTTTGTAGAGACGAGATCTTGCTGTGTTGCCAGTGATGGTCTTAAATTCCTGGGCTTAAGCAATCCTTCCGCCTCTGCCTCCCAGAGTGCTGGAATTACACGCATGAGCCACGGTGCCTGGCTAATTTTATTTGTTTGTTTAATTAAGAGGGATGCAACCTGTCTGTGACAGCCCAGGCAGCTCTGGAAACTCCCTGGGAACCTGTCCATTCATTCAGCAGATAGTGAGTGTTTGTCTGAGTGCCTGATAATATGCCAGGCCCTGTGTGCATGGTGGGATACTTCAGTGAACAAGACAGCTGAGGCCTTTTGCCCAATAAAGTTAATTTTTAGTGGAGAAGACAAATACATAATCACAAGTTGAAGTAAAGGCTGGGACAAAAACAAGGGGCTAGAATAGAGAATAAAAGCTACCTTAGATGAAGCAGTCAGGGAAAGTGAGGAGGCGATGCTGAAATTGAAGTCAAAAGAGTAAGGAGTTAGCCTTGGGAAAAGTTGGGCAGAGACATTCCTCGCTGAGAGCAGTAGGTGCCTTTTCAGGGTAAGTTCTGGATGGGTCAGGGAACTGAAAGAAAATCAGTGTGGCTGAAGTTTTAAGCCTAGGGGAAGAGGCCCAGGATGGAGTGAGAAGGTGGGTGGGGGCCAAAGCATGCAGGGCCTGTGGGCTGTGTCAAAGAATGGAGACTTTGTTGAGCCTTGGAAGGGTTTTATGCAGAAGACTAACATGTTCTGATTTAAGGCTGTGTGTGGGTGTCAGGCAAAAATAAAAGCAGGGAGCCAATTAGGCTTGCCACAATCCAGGCCAAAGATGATGGTGGTTTGAACCAAAGTGGTGGTCATGCTAAGATGAGTAGTTGAGAGATGCTATTTTGGACTTAAGAGGACACATTGATAGGAAGGACATGGGGGCAGGAAATGGAGAAACCAAAGATAACTCAAGTTTCTGGCTGGGGTAAGTGGGTGGATAGTGCTTCATTTATTGGATCAAAAAGCATGAACCACATCTCAGGGAGTTACATCAGGAATTCTGTTCAAGCCACATGGAGCTTCAGATGCCTGTTAGAGAACCAGCGGGGTTATCTCATCACTAGGAACTCAGAAGAGAGGCCAGGGCGGGAGAGGGGCTTTGGGATACATCAGCATAAAGATGCTCAAGGCCACGGGATCTGAGAAGGACACACAGGGTGAGGGAGTAGATGCAGAAGAGGAGAGAGTTCAGGAGGGACCCAGGGGAACCAAAGCAGGCAAGAAGACTGAAAAAGAGACTGGGGAGGCAGAAGGAGAATCAGGAGTATCCCAGAGACTGAGAAAATGTTTCCAGAAAGCAGTTGTCAGCTGTGTTAGACACTGCTTAGAGATCAGGTAAGATGAGGACTGGGACCTGTTGGCTCTGGCAACATGAAGGCAATTGGTGAACATGATGAGGGCAGTGTTCCTGGAGTAGTGGTGGAAGCCATGCTGTGGTAGAGCTACCATATTTGCACAACTTGTCTAACAGGGAATGGAGAACTGGGAGGGATCTAGAAAGGATACGGAAGCATAGGATGCTTTGGTAGAGATTGCTAGATGCCCCTAGTAGTAATTCTCTCTTCCCTTCATAGAATTTCTAATTCTGTCTGGCCACATGGCTTCCCAGAATAAAGGCAAGTTTCTCAGCCTCTCTTGCAGCTACACTTCATTCCTCCCAATAGGAAGTAAGTGTAGGAGTCCATGTGCAAATTCAAAACTGGCTTTAAAGGGAAGTCATGTGCTTTACTCTTTCCTGCCCACTAGGATATATTAATAGATAGCTGGAGCTCAAGCATCCATATTGGATCTTAAGTGGAAGCCAAAGTGTTGAGGATGTTAGTGGAAGTGAGAATAAATGTGGATGCTAATGTGTAGGGAGCCACCACACATTTGGACTACTACCTCTTGACTTTCTTTATGGGAGAAGGACATTTCTGTCTTGTTTAATCCTCTGTTTTATGGCACATGTAGCCACATCTAATTCTAACATTTGTTGGAATAAAGAGGGGTTTGTTAAAATATGGGAGTCACTGAAGCAGGCTTGCACACTGATAGGAATGATCTAAGAAGAAGGCAGGGGCCATGATAGGAAGAGCAGGTGAAAGGAGATAGGGTATAGGCACTAACGAGGGTCACCTCCTACAAAGGGACGCCTCCACCATCATTAAGGAGAGGAGTGTGGAGGCCGAGGAGAGGTTTCCGGTAAAGGCTGGGATTGGGAAGATGATTACTCACACCTGGTGATTTCTGCTCAATCCTGCATGTGCAGGAGGTCATGAGCTAGAACAAGGAGGAAGGAGATGGGGAAGCCAGTTTTGCAAACCATGGACTGAGCGGTTTTGGAGATCTTGCTGGCCTGAGCAGCGTCTGGGAGATGTGTCCTTTCTGGAATAGTTGGCCACACTGCTGCTATGAAAAGTGTGGTGGGAATACCCACAAAGCCAGCATGGCCTTCCCTGCCATGCCCCAGACAGTCACATCTGACACTCACCTGCCATTCCCAGCTGTAGCAGAGACCCACAGAGCTTTATCTGACCCATTCTTTTTTTTTTCCTTTGAGACGGAGTCTCACTGTGTCACCCAGGCTGGAGTACAATGGCGTGGGCTCACTGCAACCTCTGCCTCCTGGATTCATGGGACTATAGGCACGTGCCACCACACCCAGCTAATTTTTTGTATTTTTATTAGAGGTGGGGTTTCGCTATGTTGGCCAGGCTGGTCTTGAACTCCTGACCTCATGACCTGCCCACCTTGGCTTCCCAAAGTGCTGGGATTACAGGCGTGAGCCACTGTGCCTGGCCTATCTGATCCATTCTTACAGCAACATGGAGTGGCTTGAGAGAGCCTCAGAGACACGAAATGCAAAACAGGTCTATTTTATTCTCCTTTATTAAAAAATAAAAAATTCAATATAGACAGCCCCAACTCATAAAAGGGTTGTATTGTAACCAGTGGTTTACCTTCCTGGCTAGCACCTAGAACCATAATTGCCAAGCATATAACTGAATTGTAGTGCAGACTGCAAGCCTAATGTATGGACTGTGGGAACAAAAAACAGTATAGGAAGGAGGAAAAGAAAAAAGCTGAGAGTTTCTTATCTTTTTCCTGGACCTGAAGCTGCCACAGATAAAATTGTAAGTGGAAGAGCTTGCCCTTTGTCTTCCCCTGACTTCTATAGCCCTCTGTGTCGGTCCCCAGTGCTGCACTCCCACCCTGGGCTCCACTCTGCAGCCTCTGTGTGTGTTTACAGGGCAATGGGCAGGTCAGGGTGAGATTGAACAGAAGAGGGAGTTGGTGTCCAAGCTCTCCTAGTTCTCAACATGATCTTGAGCAAACCACTTTACATTCCTGAGCCCTGCTGTTCTTATCTGTAAAGTCAAGGTAATACTAAAACCCACCTCACAAGCTTGTAATAAAAATCCAAAGAGATAAAGTTTGTAAAACTTCGAAAAATACTGGGTAAGCTGTAAAGAACTCTGTTACCCAGGAAAGATGTCTTATTAGGACCAGACTACCAAGGATTAGTCGGGACATTTTGGCTGGAAATGAGAACCCCACTCAGACTAGCTTAGGTCATCAAAGGGGAGATACTGGAAGGAGCCTCAGATTGCTCACAGAATTGAAAGAAGAACTTGAAACCAGAGTGACACAAAACGGGGCTGATCCTGACAACGTCCCAGAACGGGGGCCCTACCCTCTGTTTCTCCTAGTTCTCAGAGTTTGCCATGTCAGGTATGTGACTGAGTAAGTCTACACTCTTAAGTCGGTATGAACAAATCTCAAGAAAGGATCGACCGGGCATAGTGGCTCATGCCTGTAATCCCAGCACTTTGGGAGGCCAAGGCGGGCGGATCACTTGAGGTCAGGAGTTTCGGACCAGCCTGGCCAACGTGGTGAAACCTCGTCTGTACTAAAAGTAGGAAAATTAGCTGGGTGTGGTGGCGCATGCCTGTAGTTCCAGCTACTCAGGAGGCAGAGGTGAGAGAATCGTGCTTGAACAGGGGAGATGGAGGTTGCAGTGAGCTGAGATTGTGCCATTGCACTCCAGCCTGGGCGACAGAGGAAGACTCCATCTCAAAAAAAAAAAGAAAAAAGAAAAGAAAAGGATCCTAATTGGGTCAGCTCTGGTCACATATTCACTCCTGGACCCATTCTTACAGCAACATGGAGTGGCTTGAGAGAGCCAAACAAACTCTGACACAACCAGCGTGATGAGGGAGATGAGATATCGTAATTGGACTAGGTCTGGGTCACATGCCCATGCCTATGATCAGTAGGGCAAGGCCTATGCAGAAGAAGGGGTAGTGGTGTGTGCAGGGCCAACATCATCATTTTTAGCAGTCTTCTATACCAAGTATTCTTTAGGCCCTGGGCAGGTTTTAGGCAGAATGGTGACATTGTTATATCTGTACTTTAGAAAGATCCCTAAGGCTGGAGTGGGAAGGGAAGGTGGGAGGGAGCAAGATTGGAATAAAAAATGGTTAGAAAAGAAATGATGAGGAAATAGAAAGAGGTGGACAGAATCAAGATATATTTAGGAGCTGGAACTGACAAGTGACTAATTGCATGGGAGAATGAGGAATAAAGAGACATCATATTCTGGCTGCGTGGGCAGTGGCGCTATTCACTGAGAAGGAACACAAGAGACCCTGTGTGGATGTATAATATGTTTGGTGAGAGGTGATGCCTTAGACCTCTTCCATTTGAAGTGTTCCTGGGTAGGGTGGAGAGGTGCAATTTGCTGTATGGAGTTAAGAGAGACAGCTAAACAGAAGTTATCAGTTTGGAAGTTGTATCCATTTGAAATTGTGTTTAGCTTTTCTAACAATAACCCAAGGCCAGGTGCGGTGGCTCACATCTGTAATCCCAACACTTTGAAAGGCTGAGGCAGGAGGATCACTCGAGCCCAGGAGTTTGAGACTAATCTGTGCAACATAGTAAGACCCCATCTCTTTAGGAAAAAAAAAAAAAAAAGAAAACAGAGAGAGAGGAGAAAGAGAAAGAGGGAAAGGAGGGAAAAGAGGGAGGGAGGAGGGAAGGAAGGAAAGGATGGAGGGAGGGAGGGGAGAGAAAATAGCAACACAACTACATTGCCTTAACTACATTCAGCTTTCTCGCTGTAGTTGTAGGAAAAAATTCTGACACAACAAGAAGTCTAAAGGTAAGCAGAGCAAGGCTGATCAGCAGCCCCACAACGTCATCAGGTCCCAGCTCCTCTCTGTTGGTGTGTCTGGCTCTCCTTAGGGGACAGAGTTGGCTTGTGGTCATACAATGGCTGCCCCAGCTCCAGCTTCCCACCCACATTCCAGACAGAAGAAAGAGCAAAAAGAATGAAGGGGCAACACCTAAAACTTACCCAGAAATCCCCAGACTACTGCTTATGCCTCACTCGCCGAGTGCAGTCACATGACAAACCCTAACTCCAAAGGAGGTTGGGAAATGTTTAAAAAATTAACTCCTGTTTTAAAGAAAGAAGGGAGAATCGATATTGAGGAAGCAGTGTGTGATAATTGAAATCATCAGAGTAGAGGAGATTATTTTGGGACTGGGAGATGAGAAAAGGACCAAGGACAGAATCTTTGGAAAACGAGAGAGCAGAGGGACCAAAGAGACTGAGGAAGACTGTCCAGTGAGGTAGGAGAAAAGCCAAGAGGGTGGAATGGATGGAAGTCCAGGGGCAACAAGTGTTTCAAGAAGAGGGGAGTGGTCCAGTTTCCAGGGCTGCAGAGGGCCAGTGAAACAAGGCTGAAGAGCAACCATGGGGTTAATAGCTTCAGAGAACTGTTTCAGTGGAGAATTGGGTCAAAGACAGTTAACAGTGGGCTGAACAGCAATTGGAAAATGAGAGAGAGGTTGTTAACTGGAAGATGATGAGGATAAGCAGTTGCAGGAGGGTGTTTGTTTAAGAAAGGAGAGACTTGGGCCAGGCACGATGGCTCATGCTTGTAATACCAGCACTTTGGGAGGCCCAGGTGGGAGAATCGCTTCAGCCCAGGAGTTCCAGGTGAGCCTGGGCAACATAGTGAAACCCTGTTTCTATTAAAAGAAAATAACAAGAAAAACAAAGGAGAGACTCAAATATGTTTAAATGATGAAGGGAGAAGGCAAGAGAAGAGGGGAGATAAGAGAGTCTGAAGGAAGAGAGAAAACGCTTGCTGGAGAAGGTGGGAAGGATTGGTGTTCAGAACAAGAGGAGAGCCCCAAACTGGAGGACAGCAGGACCTTCATAGAGACAGGAGGCAGGAAGACAAGCTGGGTGAGGATGCAGATGTTTGTGGGTTCGGTGGGGCTTCCTAAGGGAAGGGGTCCACTTTCTCTGGAAGTAGAATGGGCACCTGCTGAAGGTTAAGTGGGTGTTGGGTGGGATCCAAGGATTTCAGAGAAACCTAGGAGAGAACGAGAGACACCTCTGAGCAGGGGCAAGCAGGAATGTTTGGGGAAGGGTTGCAAGCCCAGCTGCAAATGGAGACCCAGAGTGAGAGTGACACACATCTCAGATTACATGACCTTTTTCATCAGTACTCAGCAGCTGGAGTATGTGCAAGTGCAGAGAGCACAGACAGCAGGATTGATCAAAATCTGGGGTTTGCCGGGAGAGCATGATAGAAAAACAATGGTGCAAAGGATTCCAGAAGGTTGGAAATAAAGCAGTTGAGGTGTTGTATCCTGAGGCTTGGCTACTAGGGGAGAGAAGTGACAGCTGGAGGGGCTAGTAGATAGGGGGAAAGAAGATGAGGCTGCGGCTGGAGGGCCCTCAGCATGTGAAGAAGGGAGATACGGTGACACAAGGCTGTGGTCAGACAGAGGTGTGTATCCATGGGACCAGGTGATTGAGATGGAAGAAACGGAGAAACAAATGGCCCTGAGGGTGAGGAGGTCAGGACCA